>NC_000010.11:80749155-80900671 GCF_000001405.40 Homo sapiens | reverse complement strand
CCAACAAGAAGTTGGAGGATGAAGTCTGCAATGTACCCTATTTCTGTGGCATGCCTGGATCTGACTAGACCGGGCTTTCTCACCCTCAGCACTATTGGCATTTTGGGCCAGATAATTCTTTGTTGTGCAGATTGTCCTGTGCATTGTAGGATGTTAGCAGAGTCTCTGGCCCCTACTCAGTATATGCCATACCACTGTCTCCCCAGTTGTGACATTCAAAATGTCTCCAGACATTACCAAATGTTATCGGGCAGGAAAATCACTCTCAGTTGAGTACTACCAGATTCAACTAGCAAGAGTAATTGGGACTAACTCTAGACTCATGTTGCTTGTAGTAATTGGGGAAATGTATTCAGCTAAAGTTTCTGCTATGTAACGTTGGATGCATATATGCCACCACGTAGTAACAACTAAAGACAGCTTCCTCCACTCCAGCTGATCAAGTTCACAGAGTCGGACCAAGGGAAACCGAGTTTGAATCACTTCGAGTTCAACAGTTTTCCAGCACGTGCAGGAGGAAAGCAGAGGTTAAAAGTGAGGCTTTTGGACAAGGAGCAATGGTGTGCTGGAGCAAGCTCACACCTGATTGCAAGGATCTCTTCCCAACTCCATGTTCAGTGACATCATATTTGTAGCTTGAAATCAGCCAGGATGAAAGTATTTATACCACAAAATTGGCAGGTGCTATAATGGAGGGATTTTTGTTGGTTTGTTTTAATTTGGTTTTTCTCCCAGACAGCCAGTTGTTAAACATTTATTTGCCAGCACACCACTGGCTAGGAGTGAGGTGCTACATACACTGAGTATGTTGGGAGCTGTGGAAAAGAGGAGCAGCTAGATCCAGTTTTGTGAGATCCTAAACCTTTTAGGAAGAACTTCTCAAGAAGAATAGCTCTGTTACAGTTAATGATTTTGAGATGATATTCAATAATTTTTAGTCAATAGCTTTATATCTGTGTCTCGGAAGCCCTATGTATCTCCTGTCATGGGTATGCAGCAAATAAAAAGCAAAATTAGAATTGGTCATCATAGGCAGAATAATTATACCAAAGTAGATCAATACCCACTCCCTGAAATTTAGGCTGCCCTGGTAGCTTATGAAGGGAATCAATAATATTCAGAATCAGATCTAAAGAGTGGATACCTTCAGATGCCCACAGATGAGGATGCTAGAAAGATGCTCATTTATGATCAATTAAAAAGGATGCCTCAGAGTGTTACTAGGTCCTCAGCCACCTTCCAGTGGCTAAAACTAAAAAAATATATATATAACATATTTAAATGTATAGTTCAAAAATACTTTTCCTGAAATAAAAGAATATTTGAATCCCAATTTTAAAAGAGCATGTAGTAACTGGAAAAGCTGATCTAGATTGATGACTCCAGGACATTCCTCAGTAAAATTATTTTAAACTTTTAAAATGCAGAGAATACTACAGGCCTATGCCAAGGATTATCCTCCAAAATGGCAATCTTTTCATTAACTTGATTGAAAGTTACTAATATAGCATTAGGATTCTTTCCTGAGAGGGCACAGTGTCAACTCCATTTTGACTAAGAGAGGCTGAGCTATATCTGTGAGCTGGCATTGAGAACATTACTCATTGAATATTCAGTGTCCCTTGGCTGGCTTACTAACCCAGAAGTTCTTTTTATATTATGTTCAACCAATCTGTAGGATTTGAAAGCAGCCAGTGGAATTCCAGGGCAACAAAAACCCACTGCAATGTCTTTTTAGAGGTTATCCAATAGCAAAATTTTGGATTCCATTCATAAACTATAGTTCTTAGTAAATTCAGTTATCATAAATTTAATGAACACGTATGTGAAGTACCATTTCAAGTGAGGACCAGCTATAACCTTTCATCTATGTGCTCATCGGTGAATAACAACAACAAAAAAATGTGGATGTCACAACTTCCTCTCCTGAGGTGATTAACAAGTGTTTGAAGACATTCTTTTGTGAGCCCAGCTTTATATCACCAAGACTGTCCTTTGGAATGTGTACCCTCAGTTGCAAGAAAATAAAGGTAAAATTTTTTCTCTTTAATATTTCATAACTTTGTTCTTCTAAAATGTTGACTCAACGAAAATAAATCACTCATATTTAAAATTAAATGAATCCATAAAACAAGGTTTACAGTATTTCCAACATTTATATTTTCACATTTACAATGGTGATTTTGAAATACCTAGAGTATAAAAATAAAGTTTTATGATTCAACTCAATTGAATTATCCCATCAGGTGAAGAGTAATCTCTTTTTCAAACATATACATATAGCACACTCACATATAATGTATTAACACACAACACACACACCTATATAATGTATAACATACACATAATTGACCTATTGCAATTAGAGGTTATAAATATACCAAAATACCTTCTCATTACTGAGACTTTATGTCCGTAAAGTAAAACTTTTATAGGTTTTTGGTAGTAAGGCATATTAAATTCAAAGCAACTTCTATTCTCCTCTTACATAAAAAAATAGGTCAGCTTATCCCAGATTATTCAAAAATCCATTTTTTCCAAGTATCCTACATGGTGAACTAACAAGTCCTATTGTATTTCACAGTGGGAGTTGTTACACACCATTAGTTAAGCTATTTGTTCTCGTTTGAGATTTGACATAAACATTAGTGTAGCTATTATTGCAACCATAAGATACATACATGATTTATCTGCTTTTTATCTTTCAAAAAAACTGCATTCTCTTAACGTGGTATTTGTATGTGTTTTGAATTATAATCGTATATATCTGGAGAACAGCCGTATTTAAAATCTGTGATGCAGAAACTAGATCACTGGATTTGGAGTGAGAAACAAGAGACTAAATGCTGGTAAGCCATACGAATCTGCAAAGAAGTAAGAGCCAAGGGTCTGTCTCCCAGGCCTTCAGGAGGCTCCCAAGACAGCACAGCGGTGGCTCTCCAGGCGTACATGTCACAGCCAGTTTCCTAAGGAAATAGCACCTGAGAAGAGACAGGCAAAACCTTGTTCCTCTGCCATAAGCATCAAGTGTTATCTGCAAGTTCAACCCCACATGCAGAACTGGGAAAAGCCCTACCCATAGAAGGAGATTTCCAAAGGGCAGAATAACAGACCTGATAAAGAAGAGACAGCATTTGAAATGGAGATTTGGTTGAAAAATTATGCAGAACTCACCCAATTCTACCCCAGCCATTGGCCCTTATTGGTAGGTATCCATATCTAGAGGAGAATTTAATTTTAGCAATATAGATAAAACAGGAAATGTGAAAGCTACTATTTTCATTACCCACACAATGGGTGGGTTCAATCACCTGGCAGGTGACAGTCCAATGACCACAACCAAGGAGGATGTAACGAGGAGATTTTATTATTTGCAACAAGTAAGGAAGACATCCAGGATAGTTCCCGAGATAGCTCCTCCCCGAACAATGGTAAAAACAGGGATTTTACTGGGCTGGTCAGCTGAGTCATCGTATGTAGCGGAGGAGTAAAGGCAGTGCAGGTGCAGTTACTGATCATGCTTTTACCCACATCACAAGTACAAACCAAAGGGAAAATAAGCTCCTCCCTGGGCAAGGGTTTTAGTAGGGTACTGAGGAGAGTTCACCAAAGTTTATCTCCAACTCAGCTATCTCTGGATCCAACTCGTTTTTGTTTTTCCAGGGCTGAGCTTCTTCCTAGAACATTTTGAGATGACAAAGAATTCACGGTGCCACAGTTACAAGTGGGTAGTTTTTCACCGTGCATATCCAAAACCCTAGGACCTTGGGTTACAGTTTCTGGAAAAAAAACAAACAATATTATTCAGAGATTGGGTGTGCAGGGCCAAGGTCTGCAATACCTGCTTGGTTCTCTGCACAGCATCGTCTCATCCCTCTCCTCTGTGGCAGCCACTTAGATCCCTCAGGCAGTCTCATTCCTGTCCCACACCCATACTCCTCACTTTATGAGGGACTTAAACAATGTTAGTTTGGACTAGATTTTATCTCAATCCCAAGTTGCAGCTCACTAAAGCTAACCACTATGCCATGCTGCCTGCAAAGATGACAGCCTTGGATCCTCTCCAGGCAAAATCATATTTTCAGACACCAAGCTTCTGCTCCAATTTCCCTGTTTTCTCAGTGGAGATGGTGTTTTATGACAGGGAACGGGTGAATTCCTCTCCTGCTCCACATTATAAAATCCTGGTCAAAATATCTATAATAAAATGCAAGACGAAAGGTGAGCAGTGAGGCTGACAGCTGGAAAGGGCCAAGAGTATATGCTTTTTTATAATGCCGTGGGGCTTTGCTGGAGGGCTGCAGTTTTGAATTGGCAGCTGTTTCATCTTAATGTAGAAATATCAACTATAAACAGGAGACCCATATCTCTACATGTGCCCGTGGTATTCTGGTATTCAGATCAGATCTTTTCCTGGGGCGAATATAGACTTACTGTTTTTTGCAAGTAGTCATTGACCCTGGGAAAAATGATAAGTTGCTAAGATAAAAAATGGAGCAGCCTCATAGTTTAGTCAAAGACAACACATTAGAGGATTTTTTTCCTGTCTCTCCTTAACGTAAAATATTCACAACCTCCTTCAGCCTTAGTTTCTTCACTCACAAAATGCATAATTTCTTCTCTCTCCTCCTGCTTAGCAGTTAGGGGAAACAAAGGCAGAAATGGTCATAGCTTCTGGAATAAACAGTCTAATAAAGGAGAATGACTGTAAGCATATCCTCCATGTAGGGTAGATCCATTTGAATATACAAATTTAAAAGGGGAATGATATAAAAAGACACATTTTGTGAAAAACCAGCCTTTCTTCACTGAGGACTTCGTTCACAGCAAAGATGAGAGGTAAAGTTACCAAACTCTTCCTCTACGCAATCACTACGCTGGGTTCTGCTTTGTTTTTAAGGAATTTCCAGTGTCATTGTCATATTGGAAGCTTATAATTCCTCTCATCATGTGTTAGGAGCACCACGCACCAGACAGTGATCTGACAGGAACCTTCACTATGTTAACAGGTCCAAGAAACCAGGAAACAATATCAAGGAAACAATATCAGAGTTATCAATATGATTTCATAGAATCATGATACATTTTTAGATTCCAAGCTAACATTCAGGGAGAGCCCTTGGCCTTTTTTTACTCTTGTTTCTCACTGGGTTCCAGTTTGGACCATTTCTATTGGCCTGACTCCAATGTTCACGTTTCTTTCCTCAGCTGTGTCCAGTCTGTGGAACGGGAGGTAGGAATTGAGTCAGTCTGGTGAGTAAGGTGAGCAGAGGTGGGGTTTGGGGTGCTAGGTTACCTTCAGTGCCGCATGGATCTGAATTCCTCTAGTGGTGAGCCGCTGCTGCCTGCTCTTCATGCCCCACCCTCAGCCGTCAGTGGTCCCTGCTGCTCTCCTCCCTGCACCTGCCCAGAGCTAGCCCACTGGTGCTGGCTACCTGGTGCTGGGTTGTTGGTGGAGGCAGGCATGTTTCCTCAGGTGCAGCCTCAGACCCAGGCAGACCTGGAGCACCTGGGCCACATAAGCGGGCTTTTCTCAGCGTTCTTGCTCCTATCCTGCTCCCAAAAGGCAGGAGAGAGTGCACCGTAAGTCCCCCAGGTGTAGACAACTCAGTTCCCTCAGGTGTAGATAATTTTGGCTCACTCTGCTCTCCCAGCAGTGGTGGACAGCCTGGATGCTGGGAGCTGAAGGGCTTCCTCTCCTCCACCAGCGGCTTCAGGTCTTGCCTGTGAGGATGGCAGGCCTCTCGCCTCTGAAGGACACCATTCCAGGCCCCTATCCTACCTCGTCTTTGTGAGGGAGTCCCTGGAAAAGAGCTGGTGAGTGACAGCAGTCATCTCTCGTGTCTGGGACACCCAGGGTTTCTAAACTGCCATGTTGGTTCATATTCAGCCTTTAAGATGTAGTATTTGTTTTAGCTTTTTTTCTTTTTTACCCAATTCTGTGGCGGCCCCCTCTTCCCACCATGAGCTGCCAAAACTGAAAGAGCTCACGTGCCTCTTTCCTTGTCATTCTTTGGAATTCTGTCTACCTGGTTGCCTTTGGACCTCAGCTCCCTGATGGGCTCAAGAAAAGTTAGGACCGTGTAGATAACATGACTTTTTATTAGGGTGGAAGGCACCTTCAGTTTTGCTAATGTCTACAGCCTTTAAGGAAGCAGAACTCCTTTGTTCTTTTTTCATGCAAATTTTAAAGTCATCCATTTCCAACCAGGCTAAAAAACAAAAAAAACAATAAAAAACCCTTCTCTTCTAGGAAGAGAACTTCCTCAAGAAACAAAGACCACAGATGTTTTTTCCTCTATGCTGAGTCCTTTGATCTTTGAGTACTTTCCTGCTTGTAATTCTTAAAGCCACAGCTCCAGGTAATTAATGGTTGGAAAGTTTTTACAAGAACAGCATTTTCTACAGTGCTTTTTAGAGAATTCTACTTCCTATGGATGGTAGTTGGTGTTATTCTTAAAGCAGGATTCAAAGGCGCTAAAGTTTAGTAAGTGCTAGTTTTAAAAAAAAATTTAAGATTTCTCTACTACAAAACTTTTTAAAGCTTTCTTTGCACATTCTATGTCCCGTAACTTTGCAAGTACAAAAACACTGCCACATGATTACACATAAATCTTTGTGCACGTGCAAAAGCATATCGGTAGACCAAGTCTTGAAAGTGCAATTCTTGGTTCAAGTGGTATGCATTTTTATAAAATCTTTATTCAAATTCACACTTTATATGATACAACAAAAGTTATACCAGTTTACCTTCACAAATAGTACTTTAATATTTCCATTTTCTTTTTTTTTTTTTTTCTGAGACAGAGTCTCACTCTGTTGCCCAGGCTGGGGTACAGTGGTGTGATCTCACCCCTCTGCAACCTCCACCTCCTGGGTTCAAGCAATTCTCCTGCCTCAGCCTCCCGAGTAGCTGGGATTACAGGCATGTGCCACCATGCCTGGCTAATTTTTGTATTTTTAGTAGAGTCAGGGTTTCACCATGTTGGCTAGGCTGGTCTTGAACTCCTGACCTCAGGGGATCCATCCGCCTTGGCCTCCCAAAGTGCTGGGATTACGGGCATGAGCCACCATGACCAGCCACCATTTTCTTATACATACTTAGTAACCCTGTATATTCACTAACACTCTTCTAAAACATGCCAATTTCATAGGAAAAAGATCATGTCTCTGACTCTCATTTGCATATTGGCAAAGTGTGTGTGTGTGTCCAAAGTACAGTACTTAGTTTGTGCTTCTTTTTCTACTGGGTTAATCTATTTAGTTGGAAAAGTTCTTCATGCGTTAAAGAAATGGGAGCTTTTTCTATACACAACAATTTTTTATTTTGCCGTTTGTCTTCTAACGTTGTTAGTGAGGTTTGTTCTTGTTCATAAATGCTAATTTGCATGTAGTCAAGTTGAGCAATCATTCTTTTATGGTTTGCAAGTTTCACGCCATGCTTTAAAAGAACTTTTCCACTCAAAATTATATTTTAAAAGTCACTAAACTGTTATTTGTTATAAAAGTAGTGATTTTTTTTTTTTGCAATGGTCAGAAATGGATAAATCTATACATTACAGAAATAAGTCTATAATAGTTTTTAAAAAAATCTTGCCTGTTATTTCATTAAATTCTCACAATATTCCCTTATGTTAGTATTGTTATTTTCCCAGTTGTGCTAATAAGGAAACTGAGTTACACAGAAGTTATCTTTTAACTAAAGTCTAAAAGCAAGTGGAAGAACCAGGAGGCTCCAGGCTGACTAGCTCCAAAGCCCACGTTGTTAGACAAACGGCTTGGGGCTGTGTGTGGAACATAAAGAATCTGATGTGGATCTTCCCAGCTGCTTTCTATTCCTGAGTGGAATTTGGCAATTAGAAATTGAAGTCTTCTAAAGATGTCTTTAGAAGGCTCTCCTTTGAATTTTTTAGTGTTTTTTGTCTGCCCCCCTACTAGAGCCTGTATTGCTTTTATAATAATTTTAAAAAAAAAAAAAAATCAGGGCCAGAAGCTGTGGCTCATACCTGTAATCCTAGCACTTTGGAAGGCCAAGATGGGAGGATTACTTGAGCCCAGGAGTTCGAAACCAGTCTGGGCAACATGGCAAGAACCTGTCTCTACAAAAAAATAAAACCGGCTGTGGTGGTGTGTGGTACCAGCTACTCAGGAAGCTGAAGGAGGAGTATCGCTTAGCCTGGGATATCAAGGCTGCAGTGAGCTGTGTTCACGCCACCACACTCTAGCCTGAGCAACACAGTAAGACCTTGTCCCAAAAAAACAAAAAGCGAGAAAAATGAAAATAAAAATTTATCAGAGAAAGGTTCATGGTGCCTCCCTAAAAGGATAGTTTAGTATTAAATATTCTCCAAACTTCTTTGAACCTGAAAGATCGTTTTGGAGAGCATTTTGAAGAACTATTTTTTTAAAGAACAATTCGGGCGAAGGGACTAGAACAGTCAAATTCTAAGTTCTCCTCCAGTTTGCTGACATCTGTATTGCCAGGCCCACTTCTTCAGTGAATAATGCTGACAGCAATGCCACTTTATTCTCCACTAAGGATATAATGCATGTCTTAATTATCCCTATCAGCCCTATTTACTGTTAGAGGGGACTACATAAGGACGTGAACACCAGGAGGTGAGACTCATTGGGGCCACCATAGAGGCTGCCTACCACACATACTTAGAACTTCACAGGAATTATTTCTTACAACCCCATTATAGCTCCATGAGATAAGAGAGTTACTTATATACCCATTTATAGATGTGGAAACTAAAGACATAGAAAGGGTAATGATAATGGTCTCAAGGCCTACAGATAGGCTATGCTAGAATAGGTCAACCAGGTCTCCTTGCCTGAGTACTTAACTATGGACTTTCAACCTCTAAGAATACAAACCTAGAAGGACATAACAGTGATGTTACTAATGGTGAAGCTGAAAACTGTTCTTTGAGGTTGCATAATTATTAAAAGAGACCAGCCTGGGCAATGTGGCAAGACCCCATCTCTACAAAAAAATTAAAAATTAGCTGGGCATGGTGCATAGTGAAGTAAAGACTAAATGGAGGAGAGCCGAAATGCAAGTGTAGGTGAGCGTTGCTTCCAGATTGCTATGAAGGCAGACCTAGAATCCTTGTCAGTGGAAGATGACCCTTCAGTGCTTTGCCTAAATCCTGCAAGAGTAGTCTAATCTGTATATCTGGAATCTAATTCACCAGGCTCCAAATACTGACTCCTTCCCTAGGTGGAGCTATCATTTCAGAAAACAATGCTCAGGACAATGGGCTTAATTGTTCCAGAATTCATAAGAGAGAATCCCCTCACTGTAAATCAGTACATTGAGATCTGGTTTATAAATCTATCATTTAATTTGGGCAACACTGAGAAGCACAAAACTAAGGACAAATCTTACAGGTTGACTTGACCAAGATTTTTCTTCCTGTGTCCATTCTTGCATTGCTGTAAAGAAATACCTGAGGCTGGGTAATTTATAAAGAAGTGAGACTTAATTGGCTCACGGTACTGCAGGCTGTACAAGCATGCCTCCAGTATCTGCTCCTGGCAAGAGGAAACTTCCAGTCAAGGCAGAAGGCGAAGGAGGAGCAGGTGCATCACATGGTGAGAGTAGGAGCCAGAGAAAGAGAGTCCGTGACTCTTTTAAACAATCAGATTTCACATGAGCTGGACAAGAACTCACTTATCACGAAGGGATGGCGCTAAGCCGTTCACAGGGATCTGCCACCATGATCCAATCACCTCACACCAGGCTTTACCTCCAACATTAGGAATCACATTTCAGCATGAGATTTGGAGGGGACAAACATCCAAACCATATCTTCTATGCCAGCAGCCAGAGTTCAAAACTTCCCCTTCCATTTTAATAGAAACAAATAGCTCTGGAAATACTGGCTCACCTTTAATCATTTTGTAACTTTACTTCCAAAGTGAGGCTTCTGGCTTCATGCAGCACCAGTAGCCAGAGACTGGAGAGTAACAACCACTATCAGGAATTGTGCAGAAAGAATGTTTCATCCTAAGACCTAGTCAGCATCCTCCCAGGAGCAATTCCCCCTTCTTTTGGCTTATTAAGGAAATTTTATTTTTAAAAAGGTAGTTATGAACTCTAGCACCAAATCCAACTTTACTCTGAAACCTAATCTCTGCCACTTTATAAATAACAACCAAATGAGCAATACAAATGCAAACTAAATTGCAGGGGAGGATTGGTGGCTGGAGGTAAAGAAATCCTTGGAGAAATGGTTTATCTCCTAGGTAATGAAGATGGCAGACTGGTATGCAGATTAGTTTGCTCTCTCCTAAGCCCTGGGAAAAGAAATGATGAGAAGTGAGGATACAGCTGTGGAATGTGTCCTGAAGCCCATCTATTTGGCTTCCCAAGGTTATTCCCAAGCTTTCACACAATAATGTTTGATTACTACAGTAACCTATAACTGTTTGTGCTTGTGTTTGCCACAATGCTGTTATAGTGTGCGTTCTTGGCTTGGGACTGCTGAAAATCTTTAATGTGTAACTGCTATTTTCCATAAGAATGAAGCTAACCTCACAGGGAGCAGGTTCTGGAAATGCAGGTTTTCAGAAGCAATCCAATATTTTCACAGCAGTGTCCTCCCTGCACAGGTCTTCTAATAGCTTAGGGAAGCAGCTCTGGAGTTCATAGTATGAAATTAGAGTATGAACTACATATGTCACTAGGACACAAAAGCAGCCAGGATCCCCACTCATTCCTGTACACACTTACCTTAATAGAGAGGTGAATTCTAGTCCTCTGAACATGTCTGCATCCTGGTAGTGGCCAAATTGGCTTTCCCTAGATATCCATAAGATCTAAATACGCAAAGTTCAAAAATAAAGGGTAAGTGTAAGTCAACAGCGTGATGTGACTGCCAAAAACTGTGTCATAAACACTGAGCAGAGCCTATTGCCCATGAAGAGGGAGGTATTCAGACCCCCAGACCACCTCTAATCGCCTGCACCCTATGCAATGCCCTGTTTGCTTCAAATTTAGCAAGGATACTGATGGTATCAGGTGACCCTTTCCCCACTGCCACCTTGCTCCAATCTAAGTGGCTTTTGGGAGGATCTTTGCTTACTTAACTTCCTGAGGACTTAAGAGTCAAAAAAATATCTTTTCTCATTCTGATAGTTTAACAGAATATATGACATTAATTCATTTTTTTTCTGAACAGTTAAGAGCATTTATTTTCTTCTTTCTTTTTTTCTTTTTTTGTTTTTTAAGGTAGGGTCTCACTGTGTCACCCAGGCTGGAGTGCAGAGGTGGCAATCACAGCTAATGGCAGCCTCAACGTCCTGGGCTCAAGCAATCCTCGCACCTCAGTCTCCTGAGTAGCTGGGACCACAGGCATGCAGTATCACACCCAGCTAATTTTTTATTTTATTATTTTTTTTCTTGGAGATGGGGTCTCACTCTGTCGCCCAGGCTGGAGTGTGGTGGCGCGGGATATCGGCTCCCTGCAAGCTCCGCCTCCCAGGTTCATGCCATTCTCCTGCCTCAGCCTCCCAAGTAGCTGGGGCTACAGGTGCCCACCACCATGCTCTGCTAATTTTTTGTTTTTCTTTTTGTTTTTTTGAGACGAAGTCTCGCTCTGTCACCCAGGCTGGAGTGCAGTGGCGCAATCTCGGCTCACTGCAAGCTCTGCCTCTTGGGTTCTCGCCATTCTCCTGCCTCAGCCTCCCGAGTAGCTGGGACTACAGGCGCCCACCACCACGCCTGGCTAACTTTTTTGTATTTTTAGTAGAGATGAGGTTTCACCGTGTTAGCCAGGATGGTCTCCATCTCCTGACCTCGTGATCCACCCGCCTTGGCCTCCCAAAGTGCTGGGATTATAGGCATGAGCCACCACACCCAGCCACGCCTGGCTAATTTTTTTGTATTTTTAGTAGAGACGGGGTTTTGCTATGTTGGCCAGGCTGGTCTCGAACTCCTGACCTTAGGTGAGTCACCCGCCTTGGCCTCCCAGAGTGCTGGGATTACAGGCATGAGCCACCACGCCCGGCCTACCAGGGATCATTCTTACCCCAAACCTCAACATCACGCCATATAACCATGTGACAAACCTGCACATATACCCCTGAATCCAAAATACAAGTTGAAATTTTTAAAAAGCGAATAAATGTTTAATAGCCATTCAATTTCTATACTTTATGAAAGACTCTTAAAATGTCTACTAAAAGAGTAATTAGCTACCATAGCTGAAATGACCATTTTAATAGATATCTAGCATATTTTTCCACTTTGAATTTCACTAATTTAACCAATAATGCCTGAAAGAAACCAATATTCCATTTTTAATAGTTTTAATCCAGTTATCTTCATCTCTACAAATTGTTAAGAAAAAAAATGCCATATCCATGTATAGGCATCACCTCGTAATTTTAAAAAAAAGGAAATTTTGATGTATAGCAAAGAGTTTTCAGTATTCTGATTTCTAATTGCTTCTACAAATAAACTGCGATAAAATGTGATTTAAAGAAAGGTCATTGCCAAAGTTACCTTCAGTTTCTCCTATGTTGTCTTTTAGGAGTTTTGTAGTTTTGCATTTTGCATATATGTCTGGGATCCATTTTGAGTTGATTTTTGTGAAAGTGTAAGGTCTGTGTTTAGAATCTTTTTATTTTTTGCTTGTGGGTGTTCAGTTGTTCCAGCACCATTTGTTGAAAAAATGATTTTTCTCCATTGGGTTGCCTTTGTCCTTTGTCAAGGATCAGTTGACTATACTTGTGTAGGCCTGTTTCTGTGCTCCCTATTCTGCTCCATTTGTCTGCTTTTCTGTTCCTTCCCCAATACCATACACTCTTGACTGCTATAGCTTTGTGGTAAGTCTTGAGGTCCAATATGTCAGTCTTCTGACTTTGTTTTTCTCCTTTAACATTTTGTTTTCTATTCTGGGTCTTTTGACTTTTCATATAAACTGTGGAATCTGTTTGTCAATAACCAAAAAATAGCTTGTTGAGATTTGAATTGAGATTTCATCAAGTCTCTATAGATCTAGTTAGGAAGAATTGACATCTTAACAATATTGAGTCTTCCTGTCCTTGTTTTTTTCTTTTTTTTCTTATTGTACTTTAAGTTTTAGGGTACATGTGCACAACGTGCAGGCTTGTTACATATGTATACATGTGCCATGTTGGTGTGCTGCACCCAGTAACTCGTCATTTAACATTAGGTATATCTCCAAATGCTATCCCTCCCCCCTACCCCCACCCCACAACAGGGCCCGGTGTGTGATGTTCCCCTTCCTGTGTCCATGTGTTCTCATTGTTCAATTCCCACCTATGAGTGAGAATATGTGGTGTTTGGTTTTTTGTCCTTGCAATAGTTTGCTGAGAATGATGGTTTCCAGCTTCATCCATGTCCTGCAAAGGACATGAACTCATCATTTTTTATGGCTGCATAGTATTCCATGGTGTATATGTGCCACATTTTCTTAATCCAGTCTATCATTGTTGGACATTTGGGTTGGTTCCAAGTCTTTGCTATTGTGAATAGTGCCGCAATAAACATACGTGTGCATGTGTCTTTATAGCAGCATGATTTATAACCCTTTGGGTATATACCCAGTAATGGCATTGCTGGGTCAAATGGTATTTCTAGTTCTAGATCCCTGAGGAATCGCCACACTGACTTCCACAATAGTTGAACTAGTTTACAGTCCCACCAACAGTGTAAAAGTGTTCCTATTTCTCCACATCCTCTCCAGCACCTGTTGTTTCCTGACTTTTTAATGATTGCCATTCTAACTGGTGTGAGATGGTATCTCATTGTGGTTTTGATTTGCATTTCTCTGATGGCCAGTGATGATGAGCATTTTTTCATGTGTCTTTTGGCTGCATAAATGTCTTCTTTTGAGAAGTGTCTGTTCATATCCTTCGCCCACTTTTTGATGGGGTTGTTTTTTTCTTCTAAATTTGTTTGAGTTCATTGTAGATTCTGGATATTAGCCCTTTCTCAGATGAGTAGATTGCAAAAATTTTCTCCCATTCTGTAGGTTGCCTGTTCACTCTGATGGTAGTTTCTTTTGCTGTGCAGAAGCTCTTTAGTTTAATTAGATCCCATTTGTCAATTTTGACTTTTGTTGCCGTTGCTTTTGGTGTTTTAGACATGAAGTCCTTGCCCGTGCCTATGTCCTGAATGGTAATGCCTAGGTTTTCTTCTAGGATTTTTATGGTTTTAGGTCTAACGTTTAAGTCTTTAATCCATCTTGAATTAATTTTTGTATAAGGTGTGAGGAAGGGATCCAGTTTCAGCTTTCTACATATGGCTAACCAGTTTTCCCAGCACCATTTATTAAATAGGGAATCCTTTCCCCATTGCTTGTTTTTGTCAGGTTTGTCAAAGATCAGATGGTTGTAGATATGCAGCATTATTTCTCGGGGCTCTGTTCTGTTCCATTGGTCTATATCTCTGTTTTGGTACCAGTACCATGCTGTTTTGGTTACTGTAGCCGTGTAGCATAGTTTGAAGTCAGGTAGCGTGATGCCTCCAGCTGTGTTCTTTTGACTTAGGATTGACTTGGCAATGCGGGCTCTTTTTTGGTTGCATATGAACTTTAAAGTCGTTTTTTCCAATTCTGTGAAGAAAGTCATTGGTAGCTTGATGGGGATGGCATTGAATCTATAAATTACCTTGGGCAGTATGGCCATTTTCACGATATTGATTCTTCCTACCCATGAGCATGGAATGTTCTTCCATTTGTTTGTATCCTCTTTTATTTCATTGAGCAGTGGTTTGTAGTTCTCCTTGAAGAGGTCCTTCAGGTCCCTTGTAAGTTGGATTCCTAGGTATTTTATTCTCTTTGAAGCAATTGTGAATGGGAGTTCACTCATGATTTGGCTCTGTTTGTCTGTTATTGGTGTATAAGAATGTTTGTGATTTTTGCACATTTATTTTGTATCCTGAGACTTTGCTGAAGTTGCCTATCAGCTTAAGGAGATTTTGGGCTGAGACGATGGGGTTTTCTAGATATGCAATCATATCATCTGCAAACAGGAACAATTTGACTTCCTCTTTTCCTAACTGAATACCCTTTATTTCCTTCTCCTGCCTGATTGCCCTGGCCAGAACTTCCAACACTATGTTGAATAGGAGTGGTGAGAGAGGGCATCCCTGTCTTGTGCCAGTTTTCAAAGGGAATGCTTCCATTTTTTGCCCATTCAGTATGGTATTGGCTGTGGGTTTGTCATAGATAGCTCTTATTATTTTGAGATACATCCCATCAGTACCTAATTTATTGAGAGTTTTTAGCAAGAAGAGTTGTTGAATTTTGTCAAAGGCCTTTTCTGCATCTATTGAGATAATCATGTGGTTTTTGTCTTTGGTTCTGTTTATATGCTGGATTATGTTTATTGATTTGCATATGTTGAACCAGCCTTGCATCCCAGGGATGAAGCCCACTTGATCATGGTGGATAAGCTTTTTGATGTGCTGCTGGATTGGGTTTGCCAGTATTTTATTGAGGATTTTTGCATCGATGCTCATCAGGGATATTGGTCTAAAATTCTCTTTTTTTGTTGTGTCTCTGCCCGGCTTTGGTATCAGGATGATGCTGGCCTCATAAGATGAGTTAGGGAGGATTCCCTCTTTTTCTATTGATTGGAATAGTTTCAGAAGGAATGGTACCAGCTCCTCCTTGTACCTCTGGTAGAATTCGGCTGTGAATCCATGTGGTCCTGGACTTTTTTTGGTTGGTAGGCTATTAATTATTGCCTCAATTTCAGAGCCTGTTATTGGTCTATTCAGAGATTCAATTTCTTCCTGGTTTAGCCTTGGAAGGGTGTTTGTGTCGAGGAATTTATCCATTTCTTCTAGATTTTCTAGTTTATTTGCATAGAGGTGTTTATAGTATTCTCTGATGGTTGTTTGTACTTCTGTGGGATCGGTGGTGATATCCCCTTTATCATTTTTTATTGCGTCTATTTGATTCTTCTCTCTTTTCTTCTTTATTAGTCTTGCTAGCGGTCTATCAGTTTTGTTGATCTTTTCCAAACACCAGCTCCTGGATTCATTGATTTTTTGAAGGGTTTTTTGTGTCTCCATTTCCTTCAGTTCTGCTCTGATCTTAGTTATTTCTTGCCTTCTGCTAGCTTTTGAATGTGCTTGCTCTTGTTTCTCTAGTTCTTTTAATTGTGATGTTAGGGTGTCAATTTTAGATCTTTCCTGCTTTCTCTTGTGGGCATTTAGTGCTATAAATTTCCCTCTACACACTGCTTTGAATGTGTCCCAGAGATTCTGGTATGTTGTGTCTTTGTTCTCATTGGTTTCAAAGCACATCTTCATTTCTGCCTTCATTTTGTTATGTACCCAGTAGTCATTCAGGAGCAGGTTGTTCAGTTTCCATGTAGTTGAGCGGTTTTGAGTGAGTTTCTTAATCCCGAGTTCTAGTTTGATTGCACTGTGGTCTGAGAGACAGTTTGTTATAATTTCTGTTCTTTTACATTTGCTGAGGAGTGCTTTACTTCCAACTATGTGGTTAATTTTGGAATAAGTGCAGTGTGGTGCTGAGAAGAATGTATATTCTGTTGACTTGGGGTGGAGAGTTCTGTAGATGTCTATTAGGTCTGCTTGGTGCAGAGCTGAGTTCAGTTCCTGGATATCCTTGTTAACTTTCTGTCTCGTTGATCGTTTAGTATTGACAGTGGGGTGTTAAAGTCTCCCATTATTATTGTGTGGGAGTCTAAGTCTCTTTGTAGGTCTCTAAGGACTTGCTTTATGAATCTTGGTGCTCCTGTATTGGGTGCATATATATTTAGGATAGTTAGCTCTTCTTGTTGAATTGATCCCTTTGCCATTATGTAATGGCCTTCTTTGTCTCTTTTGATCTTTGTTGGTTTAAAGTCTGTTTTATCAGACACTAGGATTGCAACCCCTGCCTTTTTTTGTTTTCCATTTGCTTGGTAGATCTTCCTCCATCCCTTTATTTTGAGCCTCTGTGTGTCTCTGCACGTGAAATGGGTTTCCTGAATATAGCACACTGATGGGTCTTGACTCTTTATCCAATTTGCCAGTCTGTGCCTTTTAATTGGTTCATTTCGGCCATTTACATTTAAGGTTAGTTGTGTTATGTGTGAATTTGATCCTGTCATTATGATGTTAGCTGGTGATTTTGCTCGTTAGTTGATGCAGTTTCTTCCTAGCCTTGATGGTCTTTACAATTTGGCATGTTTTTGCAGAGGCTGGTACCGGTTGTTCCTTTCCATGTTTAGTGCTTCCTTCAGGAGCTCTTGTAGGGCAGGCCTGATGGTGACAGAATCTCTCAGCATTTGCTTGTCTGTAAAGGATTTTATTTATCCTTCACTTATGAAGCTTAGTTTGGCTGGATATGCAATTCTGGGTTGAAAATTCTTTTCTTTAAGAAAGTTGAATATTGGCCCCCACTCTCTTCTGGCTTGTAGAGTTTCTGCTGAGAGATCCGCTGTTAGTCTGATGGGCTTCCCTTTGTGGGTAACCCGACCTTTCTCTCTGGCTGCCCTTAACATTTTTTCCTTCATTTCAGCTTTGGTGAATCTGACAATTATGTCTTGGAGTTGCTCTTTTCAAGGAGTATCTTTGTGGCATTCTCTGTATTTCCTGAATTTGAATGTTGGCCTGCCTTGCTAGATGGGGGAAGTTCTGTATAATATCCTGCAGAGTGTTTTCCAACTTGGTTCCATTCTCCCCATCACTTTCAGGTACACCAATCAGATGTAGATTTGGTCTTTTCACATAGTCCCATATTTCTTGGAGGCTTCGTTTGTTCCTTTTTATTCTTTTTTCTGTAAAGTTCTCTTCTCGCTTCATTTCATTCATTTGATCTTCCATCACTGATACCCTTTCTTCCAGTTGATTGAATCGGCTACTGAGGCTTCCGCATTCTTCACGTAGTTCTCGTGCCTTGGTTTTCAGTTCCATCAGGTCCTTTAAGGACTTCTCTGCATTGCTTATTCTAGTTAGCCATTCGTCTAATTTTTTTTCAAGGTTTTTAACTTCTTTGCCATTGGTTCGAACTTCCTCCTTTAGCTTGGAGTAGTTTGATCATCTGAAGCCTTCTTCTCTCAACTCATCAAAGTCATTCTCCATCCAGGTTTGTTCCGTTGCTGGTGAGGAGCTGTGTTCCTTTGAAGGAGGAGAAGCACTCTGATTTTTAGAGTTTCCAGTTTTTCTGCTCTGTTTTTTCCCCATCTTTGTGGTTTTATCTACCTTTGGTCTTTGATGATGGTGATGTACAGATGGGGTTTTGGTGTCGATGTCCTTTCTGTTTGTTAGTTTTCCTTCTAACAGTCAGGACCCTCAGCTGCAGGTTTGTTGGAGTTTGCTGGAGGTCCACTCCAGACCCTGGTTGCCTGGGTATCAGCAGCAGTGGCTGGAGAACAGCAGATATTGGTGAACGGCAAATGTTGCTGCCTGATCGTTCCTCTGGAAGTTTTGTCTCAGAGGAGTACCTGCCGTGTGAGGTGTCAGTCTGCCCCTACTGGCGGGTGCCTCCCAGTTAGGTTACTCGGGGGTCAGGGACCCACTTGAGGAGGCATTCTGCCCATTCTCAGATCTCCAGCTGCATGCTGGGAGAACCACTACTCTCTTCAAAGCTGTCAGACAGGGACATTTAAGTCTGCAGAGGATTCTGCTGCCTTTTGTTTGGCAATGCCCTGCCCCCAGTGGTGGAGTCTACAGAGGCTGGCAGGCCTCCTTGAGCTTCGGTGGGCTCCATCCAGTTCGAGCTTCCTGGCTGCTTTGTTTACCTACTCAAGCCTTGGCAATGGCTGGCGCCCCTCCCCCAGCCTCACTGCCACCTTGCAGTTTAATCTCAGACTGCTGTGCTAGCAGTGAGCTAGGCTCAGTGGGCATAGGACCCCCCGAGCCAGATGTGAGATATAATCTCCTGGTGTGCCATTTGCTAAGACCATTGGAAAAGCGCAGTGTTAGGGTGGGAGTGACCCGATTTTCCAGGTGCCATCTGTCACCCCTTTCTTTGACTAAGAAAGGGAATTCCCTGACCCCTTGCACTTCCTGGGTGAGGCAATGCCTCACCCTGCTTCAGTTCATGCTCAGTGCACTGCACCCACTGTCCTGCACCCACTTTTCAACACTCCCCACTGAGATGAACCCCGTACCTCAGTTGGAAATGCAGAAATCACCAGTCTTCTGCGTCGCTCACACTGGGATCTGTAGACTGGTGCTGTTCCTATTTGTCCATCTTGGTTCCACCCTTCCTGTCCTTGTATATGGAATATCTTTTATTTGGATTTTCTTGTATTTCTTTGATCAGAGTTTTGTAGTTTTCTTCATGTAGATCTTGGACACATTTCATAAAATTTATACTTTTTTGTAGCTAATGTGATTGGTATGATTTCAATTTCAAATTCAAGTTGTTCATTGCTGGTATATAAGAAAACTTTTTTTTAAATCAACCTGGTATCCTGCAATCTTATGAATAAAATTGCTTATTAGTTTTAGGAGAAAAATAAAGAAACTTAACATTCAAAGCATTGGTTGTAAACATCAGTTCCCTCTAAAGGAAACCAAGAATCCTTAAAAAATAGCTGTTTTCCAATCTGGGCAGAAATGTGCAAGATAAGCCTAGAATATGTTGTCATGCCTGATAATAAGGAAGCTATCAAAGAATATTAGAATTATGTCTAGAGGGCTCAAGAGCCAATTCAGTGATGTTTCCACTTGCCACATATAGTATAATGCAATGTCAACACCAATAAGAGTAATAACTACGATGTATTAAAATACATAAGACATGTTTAAATGTATGATTTCATAATACTATAATAGGTCAACATTGAAGATAGCAAACTTTACCTTTTGCATATTAATAAAGGAAAGACTAAAGCATTTATCCTGCCTTTCCTATAAGAACTATACCAATGGATTGCCAAATAGTAGATGAAGGGAAGTTTCTCTTTATAGTATTCTATTATAGCTAATAAATGAAGGAATAATAGGATTCCACCATTTTACAGCTTCTAAGGAATTAATCTAACACTGATTGCCAATGGCTGTTAATATGACAAAAAGAGAGACAAACACATACTATGTGTCTCCTGTGGAAGATGACAACCTCATCTATGAAATATTCTTGGAGGAAAAAACAAACTAAATCAGAGCAAGCCTCTAAATTTGATTATCTATTTGCCAAATTGGCATAAAACATTTGTTCATCTGATAGTGAATTACTCAGCTTATGTGAAATTTTCCAGAAAGCTATGCTCCATAAATCCATAGATCCCAGGCTGGTTTACCAGAAATAATCTTAGATAATGGTATATCCTGCTGAACTCTCCCACTAGCAAATATTACTAGTTATTTATCCGGATATCTGTCATTAGTATATTTACAAGGAGATTTGACTGAATTGCCTTATCTTCTTTTTTTCCCAGGGAAATCCCTCTGTGAGAGACAGAACTATAGACCTATTGTTTAACCATTTACTTTCTTCATGTTCTTTCAGCTAAAACATATCAAAAGTTCACAAGTATAAAATGAGACAAATGGAAAAGAATAAAAAATCCAGAAATCATATAAAATTTTTCTATATCCTAGGGATAACTAAGAATCAATAGAGAAGCAATGAATTGTTTAATAACAGTGTTAAGAAAGTTGAGTCATTGTGGTGCTCTATTCCCCAAAGATCCTTACCTCCTGGTATGCACAACCTTATATAGTTCTCACTCACAGTGTATCGTGGTTGGTTTGGGTAACCAAAAGCATATGGCAGAATTGATTATAAAACACTATGATTGTAAAAGGTAGGATTATAAAACACTATGATTTATATCTTCGGTGCATTCTCTTTCATCTCTATCCCTATATAGCAGACAGGGGAGCTCTGGGGAAAATAGACAGCAATGTCAGCAGCAGCCCTCTGGGGAAGTCAGCAAGGAATTCACCCTCCAGCCAGGAGTCAGTGAGGAACTGAGGGCTACCAATAACTATATGAGTAAATTTAGCGAGATTTTCTAGGCTGTTAAGCTTTGAAATGATTGCCACTCTGACCAGTAGCTTACCTGCAGCATTGTGAGAGATGCTGAGGCAGAATCACCCAGATAAGCTGTTCTCAGGTTCCTGACTTGATAATGTAAGATAATTTTTTTTGTTTTAATATACTATGTTTAGGAATAATTTTTTAGGCAGCAATAAAAAAAATACAGTTTGGCACTAAAAATGGGATATACCATAACAAAAATCTAAAATGTGGGAGAGGAAGTGGGCAGCACCTGGATGGATGAAGGCCTTTAAAGAGAGCATTGGTGAAAATCTAAATTGCCTTAATCAGACTGTTTGTTGAATTTTTAACTTAGAAGAGGTTGTTGGTGAGGGCTCAGAAGAAATGAGGAAAATCTTATTGGAAATTTGAGGAAAAAAGAGTCTCATTATATAGTGGTAGAAAGTTTAGCGACAGTCACCAGAAGTAATGTGGAAGGTACAAAAGGTACCTAGTGACCTGGATGATCTAGCTAAGGAAATTTCCAG
The DNA here is from genome assembly GCF_000001405.40 of Homo sapiens. Lineage (NCBI taxonomy): Eukaryota > Metazoa > Chordata > Mammalia > Primates > Hominidae > Homo > Homo sapiens. The sequence continues at coordinate 80,879,196 of NC_000010.11, read as the reverse complement.
CCAAAATGATGAAAATGCCACATAAATACTATGTATGGTAAAATCTAAGAGTGATTTGCTAAAGAAAGGGATGTTATACAAAAACAATTAGAACTTGTGAGTTACGAAGATTCCCAGCCTCTTCAGATGATGATTAATACTAGAATTAAGAAATGGCCATGAGCAAAGATCAAATCTAGGAAATCCTCAAGAAAACATGGTTTAAAGTGAAGCTGAGGGTGTGAGCATAAAATTCTTTGTTAAGACCTTCTAAAAATGAAAAGTCGTGCCTCAAAGTGTCACTAGGTCAGATTTCTTTTTAAAGCTCCCTTATGGTTGCAAGAGTGTGACTCTCAGATGCTTTAAATCAAACAATAGAGCTCTAAGAAGATTAAGAGTGTTATCCCTCACTAGAAGTCCAAAGCAGAAAAGTGGTCATCTTGAAGAGACCTACAGATGTGCTTTTGTCTAATGGGGTGAACTCCAGAAAGATGCACAGGAGACCTACAAAGCTTTCAAGAGAATTATACATGCAGAAACATCACCAACTTGGACTGAAGGGAACAGAGACAGTACAAAATGAAAAGAAGCCTTAGCAACCCAAAAATAAACAAGATGCTTGTGGAGAAACTATTCAGCTGCAAACACAGGCTACCTTTCATAAAAATGAAAGGATGACTTAGTGAAACCAAGAGCCCAGAGAGTATAGCCAAGAGCCATGCAAATTACCTCCTGGGCAGAAGCGGGACTGAGTCTTAGTAAGAAACTTCTAACATTTGCCCAGTTCAATTTTATAATTGCTATTTGAATAGCCAAGGCAATCCTAAGCAAAAAGAATAAAGCTGGAAGAATCACATTGTCTGACTTCAAACTGTACTACAAGGCTACAACCAAAGTCTGTAACCAAAACAGCACGGTACTGATACAAAAATAAACACATTGATCAATGGAACAATACAGAGAACAGAGAAATAAAACCACACTTACAACTATCTTATCTTTGACAAAGCTGACAAAAACAAGCAATGGGAAATGGACTCACTGTTCAATATATGGTGCTGGGATAACTGGTTAGCTATATGCAGAAGACTGAAAGTGAACCCATTCCTTATACTATATGAAAAAAAATCAACCCAAGATGGATTAAAGACCTAAATGTAAGACCTAAAACTATAAAAATCTTGGGAGATAACATAGGAAATACCATTTTGGAGATAGGAACTGGCAAAGATTTCATGACAAAAAATGTCTAAATCAATTGCAACAAAAGCAAAAATTGAAAAAGGGGAGCTAATTAAACTAAAGAGCTTCTGTATAGCAAAAGAAACTGTCAACAGAATAGGTAACCTATAGAATGGGAGAAAATATTTGCAATCTACACATCTCACAAAGTTCTAATATCCAGAATCTACAAGGAAATTAAACATACAAGAAAAAAACAACTCCATTAAAAAGTGGGCAAAGCTAACAACCAAAAAAAGCCTAGGAACAGATGGATTCACAGCCAAATTCTACCAGAGGTACAAAGAGGAGCTGGTACCATTCCTTCTGAAATTATTCCAAACAATAGAAAAAGAGGGACTCCTCCCTAATTCATTTTATGAGGCAGGCGGCATCCTGATACCAAAACCTGGCAGAGATGCAACAAAAAAAGAAAATTTCAGGCCAATATCCCTGATGAACATCGATGTGAAAATCCTCAATAAAATACTGGCAAACCGAATCCAGCAGCACATCAAAAAGATTATCCACCACAATCAAGTCGGCTTCATCCCTGGGATGCAAGCCTGGTTCAACATATGCAAATCAATAAATGTAATCCATCGCATAAACGAAACCAATGACAAAAAGTACATGATTATGTCAATAAATGCAGAAAGGACTTTGATAAAATTCAACAACACTTTATGCTAAAACCTCTCAATAAACCAGGTATTATGGAATATATCGCAATAATAAGAGCTATTTATGACAAACCCATAGCCGACATCATATGAATGGGCAAAAGCTGGAAGCATTCCCTTTGGAAACCGGCACACGACAAGGATGCCCTCTCTCGCCACTCCTATTCAACATAGTATTGGAAGTTCTGGCCAGGGCAATCAGGCAAGAGAAAGAAAGAGAGGGTATTCAGACAGGAAGAGAGGATGTCAAATTGTCTCTGTTTCCAGATGACCTGATTGCATATTTAGAAAACACCATCAAATCAGCCCAAAAATTCCTTAAGATGATAAGCAACTTCAGCAAAGTCTCAGGATACAAAATCAATGTGCAAAAATCACAAGCATCCCTATAAACCAATAATAGACAAGCAGAGAGCCAAATCATGAGTGAACTCCCATTCATCATTGCTACAAAGAGAATAAAATACCTAGGAATACAACTTACAAGGGATGTGAAGGACCTCCTAAAGGAGAACTACAAACCACTGCTCAAGGAAATAAGAGAGGACACAGACAAATGGAAAAACATTCCATTCTCATAGATAGGAAGAATCAATATCGTGAAAATGGCCATACTGTCCAAAGTAATTTATAGATTCAATGCTATTCCCATCAAGCTACCATTGACTTTCTTCACAGAACTAGAGAAAACTACTTTAAATTTCATATGGAACCAAAAAAGAGCCCATATAGCCAACACAATCCTAAGCAAAAAGAACAAAGCTGGAGGCATCACGCTCCCTGACTTCAAACTATACTACAAGGAAAGAGTAAGCAAAACATCATGGTACTGCTACCAAAACAGATGTATAGACCAATGGAACAGAACAGAGGCCCAAGAAATAACACCGCACATCTACAACCATCTGATCTTTGACAAATCTGACAAAAACAAGCAATGGGGAAAGGATTCCCTATTTAATAAATGGTGCTGGGAAAACTGGATAGCCATATGCAGAAAACTGAAACTGGACCCCTTCCTTACACCGTATACAAAAATTAACTCAAGACAGATTGAAGACTTAAATGTAAAACCTAAAACCATAAAAACTCTAGAAGAAAACCTAGGCAATACCATTCAGGACATTGGCAATTAACCCAAGGTAGACTCAAGATTTAAATGTAAGACCTAAAACTATAAAAACCCTAGAAGCAAACCTAGACAGTACCATTCAGGACATATACATTGGCAAAGGCTTCATGACTAAAACAACAAAAGCAATTGCAACAAAAGCCAAAATTGACAAATGGGATCTGATTAAACTAAAGAGCTTCTGCAGAGCAAGAGAAACTATTATCAGAGTGAACAGGTAACCTACAGAATGGGAGAAAAATTTTGCAATCTATCCATCTGATGAACGTCTAATATCCGGAATCTACAAGGAACTTATACAAATTTACAAGAAAAAAAAACCCCATCAGAACGTGGGTGAAGGACATGAACAGACGCTTCTCAGAAAAAGACATTTATGCACCCAACAAACATATAAAAAAAAGCTCGTCATCACTGGTCGTTAGTGAAATGCAAATCAAAACCAAAATGAGATACCATCTCACACCAGTTAGAATGGCAATCATTAAAAAGTCAGGAAACAACAGTTGCTGGAGAGGATGTAGAGACATAGGAATGCTTTTATGTTGTTGTTGGGAGTCTCAACTAGGTCAACCATTGTGGAAGACAGTGTGACGATTCCTCAAGGATCTAGAACCAGAAATACCATTTGACCCAGCAATCCCATTACTGGGTATATACCAAAGGATTATAAATCATTCTATAAAAACACATGCACACGTATGTTTATTGCAGCAGTATTCATAATAGCAAAGACTTGGAACCAACCCAAATGCCCCTCAATGATAGACTGGATAAAGAAAATGTGGCACATATACAGCATGGAATCCTATGCAGCTATAAAAAAGAATGAACTAATGTCCTTTGCAGGGACATGGATGAACCTGGAGACCATCATTCTTGGCAAACTAACACAGGAACAGAAAACCAAACACTGCATGTTCTCATTCACAATTGGGAATTGAACAATGAGAACACATGGACACAGGGAAGGGAACATCACACACCAGGGCCTGTCGAGGGGTAGGGGGCAAAGGGAGGGAGAGCATTATGACAGATACCTAATACATGCGGGGCTTAAAACCTAGATGACGGGTTGATGGATGCATCAAACCACCATGGCACATGTATACCTATGTAACAAACCTACACATTCTGGATATGTATCCAAGAAATTAAATTATAATAAAAAAATGGGCAAAGGACATAAACAGACACCTTTCAAAGGAAGGCATAAGTGTGGCCAACAACCATATTTTTTAAATGCTCAATATAATCATTAGAGAAATGCAAGTCAAAATCACAATGAGATACCATTCTAACCAGTCAGAATGGCTATTATTAAAAAGTCAAAAAATAACATGCTGGTGAGGTTGCAGAAGAAAGGAATGCTTATAAACTGCTGGTGAGAGTGTAAATTCGTTCAACCATCGTGGAAAGCAGTGTGGCAATTCCTCAAATAACTAAAAACAGAACTAGCATTCAACACGGCAATCCCACTACTGGGTATATACCCAAAGAATTATAAATTGTTCTACCATAAAGACACATGCACATGTATATTCATTGTAGCACTATTCACAATAGCAAAGACATGGAATAAACCTAAATGCCCATCAGCAGTCAACAAGATAAAGAAAATGTGGTACATATACACCATTGAATATTATGCAGCCATAAAATGAACAAGATCATGTTCTTTGCAGAGACGTGGATGGAACTGGTGGCCATTATCCTTAGCAAACTAACAAAGAAACAGAAAACCAAATACCACGTTTTCACTTACAAGTGGAAGCTAAATAATGAGAACATATTGACAGAAATTGGAGAAGAACAGACACTGGGGTCTACTTGAGGGTCAAGGGTAGGAGAAGTAAGAGGTTCAGAACAAAACAGACTGGGGGTTTTGGTGTATGAAATACTATGTACACCAAACCTGTGAGTCACAATTTTACCTATATAACCTGCACATGCACTGCTGAATCTGAAATAAAAGTTAAAATATTGAAATGTTTTCTTCCTTTTATTTTTTAAATTGATGTGTGTATTTATGAGGTACATAGGGATATTTCAATACATATAATGTATAGTGATCAGACCAAGGTAAGTTGCATATCATGATCAAACACTTATTTTTTTGTGTTGGGAACATTCAACATCTTCCTTTTAACTAATTAAAAGTATTTAATATATTATTGTTAACTATAGTCATCTTACAATGGTATAGAACACTATAACTTATTTCGGCTATTGTGTTGTAATTTTGAATGCTTTGAAAAATCTCTCCCTTTCATTCCCTTCCCCCCACCTTTTCAGCCTCTAGTATCATCTTTTCTTCTCTGATCTCAACTTTTATTAGCTTCCGCATATGAATAACAATAGGTGATATTTGTCTTTCTGTGCTTGATTTATTTAACTTAACAAAGTGAACTCCAGTTTTACCCATGTTGCAGTGAATGACAGAATTTCATTCTTTTCTATAGCCGAATAGTATTCCACTGTGCATGTAACCCACATTTTCTTTATCCATTCGTTTGTTGTTGGACATCTAGGTTGATTCTACATCTTGGCTATTATGAATAGTGCCACCACAAACATGATGTTGCAGATGTTTCTTTGATATACTGATTTTCTTTCCTTTGGATAAATTCCTAGTAGTGAGATTATTGATCATATGGTAGTTCTATTTGTAGATTTTTTTTAAAACCTCCATACTGTTCTCCAAGTGGCTATACTAGTTTACATTCCCAATAGCAGTGTAGAAACATTCCCCCTTTCTCTGCACCCTCACCAGCATTTATTTTTAGTCTTTTTGATAATTGCCATCTTAATTAGGATAAGATGATAGCTCATTATGATTTTCATTGGCATTTCCCTGATAATTAATGATGCTGAGTATTTTTTTCATATATTGATTGGCCATTTGTATATATTCTTTTGCGAAATGTTTATTTAGATCATTTCCCCATTGTTAATGGGATTGTTTACTTCTTGCTGTTAAAATGTTTGAGTTCATTGTACATTCTGGATATTAATCCCCTGTCAGATGCATAGTTTTCAAATATTTTTCCTATTCTGTAGGTTGTCTTTTCACTCTGTTCATTGTTTCCTTTGCTATGCAGAAGCTTTTAAGTTTGATGTAATCTCATTTGTTTACTTTTGCTTTCCTTGCCTATGCTTTGAGGTCTTATTCATAAAATATTTACCAGACCAATTTCCTGTAGTGTTTCACCTATATTTTCATCTAGCAGTCTAATAGTTTCAGGTCCTACCTTTAGGTCTTTGATCTATTTTGAGTTAATTATTGTATAGGATGAGACATGGGGGTCTCATCTCATTTTTCTGCACATGGATATTCAGTTTTCCCAGTTTGATGTATTGATGACTCTCCTTTCCCCAATAGGTGTTGTTGGTGTCTTTTATCAAAACTCAGTTGGCTCTATATATGTGAATTAATTTTGCAATTCTCTAGCCTCCTCTGTTGGCCTATGCATCTGTTTTTATGCCATTACCTTGCTGTTTTGTTTACTACAGCTTTGTAGTATATTTTGAAGTCTTGTAGTGTCAGCTCTGTGCTTTTGCTCAGGATTGCTTTGGCTATTCCACTTTTTTTTTTTTTTTTTTGGCCCTATACAAATTTTAAGACTTTTCTAATTCTGTGAAGAAAGTCATTGGTATTTTGATAGGGATCATGTTTAATTTGTAGACTGCTTTAGGTACTACGGTCATTTTAACAATATTTTTGGAGCCATGAGTATGAGATGTTGTTCCATTTGTTTTTATCCTCTTTAATTTTTTTGTCAGTGTTTTGTAGTTTTCCTCATAGAAGCCTTTCAGTTCTTAGTTAAATTTATTCCTAGGTATTTCATTTTTTGTAGCTATTGTAAATGGCATTATCTTCTTGATTTCTTTTTTAGCTATTTTGTTGTTCATGAATAGCAATGCTACTGATTTTATATGTTAATTTTTTTATCTTTACTAAATTCATTCATCAATTCTAAAAGACTTTTGGTAGTCTTTAGGATTTTCTATATATAAAATCATATTGTCTGCAAACAGGAACAATGTGACTTTTTACTTTCTAATTTGGATGCCCATTATTTCTTTCCCTTATCTAATGTTCTTGCTAGGACTTCTAGTACTATGTGGAATAAAGTAGCAAGACCGGGCATCCTTCTCTTCATCCAGTTCCTACAGGATGTCACTACAGGATGTGGGTTTGTCATATATGGCATTTATAGTGTTGAGTTACCTTCCTTCTATACCTAACTATTGGAGAATTTTTACTATGAAGGGATGTTGAATTTTACCAAATGCTTTTACTGCACCTACTGAGGCAATCATATGGTTTTTGTCTTTCATTTTGTTGATGTGACATATCACATTTATTGATTTGCATATGTTGAACCATTCTTGCATTCCTAGGACAAATCTCATTTGATCATGATCTGTTATCTTTTTGATGTATTGTTACATTTACTTTGCTAATATTTTGAGAATTTTTATGTCTATGTTCATCAAAAATATTTGCCTGTATTTTCTTTTTGTGTTGTGTCCTTGTCTGGTTTTGGCATCAGAGTTATGCTTACCTCATGGAATGAATTAGGAAGAGTTCCCTTTGTTTCCATTTCTTGGATTACTTTGAGAAGACTTGATATTATTTAAAGGTTTGGTAGTATTCAGTGGTGAAGCCATCCAGTCCTGGACTTTTCTTTTTTGAAAGACTTTTTATTACTGATTCAATTTTATTACTTATATTGTCTTTCAGGTTTTCACCTTCTTCTTGGTTCAGTCTTGATAGGTTGTATGTAACCAGGAATGTATCTATTTCCTCTAGGTTTTTGAATTTATTGGCACATAGTTGTTCATAGTAGTCTCTAACAATCCTTTGTATTTCTGTGGTATGCATTGTGGTGTATGCTCTTTTTATTTCAACTTATTTGGGTCTTTTCACTTCCTTTTTTCATCTAGCTAGTGGTTTGTCAATTTTGTTTATCACTTCAAATAATCAACTTTTTGTTTTGTTGATCATTTGTATTTTTTAGTTAAATTTTATTTCTGCTCTGGTATTTATTCTACAAATCTGGGGTTTGGTATGTTCTTGCTTTTCTAGTTTCTTGAGATGCATCATTGGGTTGTATGTTTAATTTCTATATATTTGTATAGTTTCAGGTGTTCCTCTTGTTATTTGCATCTAGTTTTGTTTCATTGTCCTTAAACAGGATACTTGATATTATTTTGAATTTTTAAAAAGTTTTTGCAACTTGTTTCTTGTCCTAACCTACGGTGAATCCCAGAGAATGTTCCATGTGCTGGTGAAAAGAATGTGTATTCTACAGGTGTTGGGTGAAATGTTCTGTAAATGTCTTTTAGTTCCATTTCATCTATGGTGTAGTTTAAATCTGATGTTTCTTTGTTGATTTTCTATGTAAATGATCTGTCAAATGCTGAGAATAGGGTGTTGAAGTCCCAGCTATTTTTGTATTGGAGTCTATCTATCCCTTTAGTTCAATAGACCCCAATAACTCTAAAGGGTGAGCTAGACCCCAGTATATCTCTGGGTGATGCAAGGTTGGATGCACATATATTTACAATTGTTGTATTCTTTTTCTGAATTGATTGGTTTATTATTAGAATACAGTCTCCTTATCACTTACACCTTTTGACTTGAAGTGTATTTTGTGTGATATAAGTATAGCTACTACTGCTTACTTTTGGTTTCTATTTGCATGAAATACCATCCCTTCACTTTCAGTCTATGTGTGTCTTTAGAGGCGAGGTGAGTTTCTTGCAGGTAGCATATAGTTATGTCTTGATTTTTTATACATTCACTCAGTTTATATTTTTTAATGAATTTATTTTGTTTTAATTCAAGGTAATTATTGATAGGTGAGGACTTACTCTTGTCATTTTTTGGTTCCTTTTCTGCTTTTTTTTGGTACATCCTTTACTTTTATTGTTTGTTTTTGCAATTGGATGGTTTTCTATAGTGAAAATGTTTAATTCCTTTCTTTTTCTCCATTGTGTATTGGCTCTTCCAGTGAATTTTGTAGTTTTGCATGTTTTCATAATGGTGGTTATCATCTTTTCCTTCCAGATGCAAGACTCCCTTGAGCATTTCTCTTAACGCCAGTCTCTTGGTAATGAATTCTTTTAGTTTTTGCTTGTTTGTAAAATATTTTATTTCTCCTTCATTTCTGAAGGATAGCTTTTCTGGATGTAATGTTCTCGGCTGCCAGTTTTTTTTTCTTTCAATATTTTGAATATATCATTCCAGCCCCTCCTGGTCTGTGAGGTTTCTGTGAGAAATCCACTGTTAGTCTAATGGGAATTTCCTTATATGTGACTTGATACATTTCACTTGCTATTTGTAGAAGTCTTTATCTTTGACTTTTGATAATTAGACTATAATTATAATCTCCGTCTCCATTGCTGGAGATGGAAATGGAGCCCAGTGCCTTGGAGAGTACCTGTTTGGATTGACTCTATTTGGGGTTCTTTGCAATTCCTGTATCTGCATGTCCATCTCACCCACAAAATGGGAATTTTTCAGCTATTGTTTTATTAAATATGTTTTTTTAGAACTTTCCTTTCTCCTCTTCCTCAGGAGTGCCCCTAATGTGAACATTTGTTTGTATAATTGTGTTCCATAAATCTTGTAGGCTTTCTTGATTCTTTTTTATACATTTTTATTTATCTGTGTTACTTCAAAAGACTTGTCTTCAAGTTTAGAAATTCCATCTTTGCTTTGTCTACTCCATTGTTGAAGCTCTCAATTTTATATTTTATTTCCTAATTGAATTATTCAACTCTAGGATTTGTTTAGTTTTTTGTGACTTGTGACTTTTATCTCTTTGTTAAATTTCTCATTCAAATTAGGAAACATTTTCCTGATTTCATTGAATTGCCTATCTATATTCTCTTACATACCACTGAGTCTCCTTCAGGTTATTATTTTGAATTCCTTTTCTAGCATTTGGTATATTTCCTTATGATAAAGGTCTATTACTGGAGAATTATTATATAGTAGTAGAGAGGTCTCTCTCTACTCCCCCACTATACTCAGTGCTCTCCCTTTTATTCTCCAGGCAAATCTTAGCTATTTATTCGTTGTGTTGGTCTTTTCTTGTGGAGGAAATGAACACCAGGCATCTCTGGTCAGCTCCCCTTGACTCTTTGTGCCTCCTTTTTTGAACAGGAATACCTTCAGAGGTTGCCCTGTGCCTGTGACATCTTGATTGTCAGGTATGTAGGGGATGAACAGCTTGTCTCTTTAATTTCACAGTTCAAGAAGAATTGCAAATTCAGGAGTCATACTTAAAGAACTCTATCCAGGAAGCCTCACACTCACCTGGACCTGACTTAGATTATGAGAATCTGGACTTTGAGCTGATAATCAGACAATACCAAGCAGTAGCAAAAATTGTAAGAACATTTATGCAGTTTTTGTTCAAGAAAATTTTTATTTTTTGTGCTTACTTGACGTGTAATAATTGTATATATTTTAGGATACAGAGTAATATTCAAAATATGTAATGTATAATAATCAAGTCATGGCAATTAGCATATCTATCACCTCAAACATTTATCATTTCTGTGTGTTGGGAACATTCCCTTCTTCTAGCTATTTAAAAATATACAGTAAGTTATTGTTAATTATGGTTACCCTGCAGTGCTATTACACACCAGAGCCTCTTCCTCCCATCTAGCTATAATTTTGTATTGATTAACCAAACTGTCCATATCCTTCCCTCCACCCTAACCTACCAAGCCTCTAATAACCACAATTCTACTGTCTACTTCTATACTCTCAGCTTTTGTAGCACCCATGTATGAGTAAGAATATGCGGTATTTATTTTTCTGTGCCTGATTTATTTCATTTAACAAAATGTCCACTGAACTCACCCATTTTGCTATGAATGACAGGAATTCATTTTTTATGGCTGAATAGTATGCCTTTGTGTGTATATCCATTCCACTGTTGATGGACACTTAGGCTGATTCCATATCTTGGCTGTTGTGAACAGTGCTGCAATACACATGGGGGTACAGATATCACTTAAGACATTTTTGAGGAAAAAATGCCAAAACTTGGCAAAATTAAAAGTATTCATACCCTACAACCTTAGCCATTTTACTTGTTCATAGGGAAACTCACATAGGAACATAAATAAACATGTATAATGATATTCATTGTAATATTGTTTATGGGGTACTAAAGTCATCAACCTAGAGGCCATCATTAAAATAATGAATAACTAAAATATAGCATAGACATTTAATAGATGACGAATATAGCAGTGAGAAAAAGCTAGAGGTTTACAAACAACAATATTATTAAATATTTTAAAAAGTAGGGCTGAGTAACCAAAAAAAGTCCAGGACCAGATGGATTCACAGCCGAATTCTACCAGAGGTACGAAGAGGAGCTGGTACCGTTCCTTCTGAAACTATTCCAATCGATAGAAAAAGAGGGAATCCTCCCTAACTCATTTTATGAGACCAGCATCATCCTGATACCAAAGCCCGGCAGAGACACAACAAAAAAGAATTTTAGACCAATATCCCTGATGAACATCGACATGAAAATCCTCAATAAAATACTGGCAAACCGAATCCAGCAGCACATCAAAAAGCTTATCCACCATGATCAAGTTGGCTTGATCCCTGGGATGCAAGGCTGGTTCAACATATGCAAAACAATAAACATAATCCATCATATAAACAGAACCAATGATAAAAACCACATGATTATCTCAATAGATGCAGAAAAGGTCTTTGACAAAATTCAACAGCCCTTCATGCTAAAAACTCTCAATAAATTAGGTATTGATGGAATATATCTCAAAATAATGGCAGCTATTTATGACAAACCCACAGCCAGTATCATACTGAATGGGCAAAAACTGGAAGCATTCCCTTTGAAAACTTGCACAAGGCAAGGATGCTCTCTCTCACCTCTCCTATTCAACATAGTGTTGGAAGTTCTGGCCAGGGCAATCAGGCAGGAGAAGGAAATAAAGGGTATTCAGTTAGGAAAAGAGGAATTCAAATTGTCCCTGTTTGCAGATGACATGATTGTATATCTAGAAAACCCCGTCGTCTCAGCCCAAAATCTCCTTAATCTGATAAGCAGCTTCAGTAAAGTCTCAGGATACAAAATAAATGTGCAAAAATCACAAGCATTCTTATACACCAATAACAGACAAACAGAGAGCCAAATCTTGAGTGAACTCCCATTCACCATTGCTACAAAGAGAATAAAATACCTAGGAATCCAACTTACAAGGGACGTGAAGGACCTCTTCAAGGAGAACTATAAACCACTGCTCAAGGAAATAAAAGAGGACACAAACAAATGGAAAAACATTCCATGCTCATGGATAGGAAGAATCAATATCGTGAAAATGGCCATACTGCCCAAAGTAATTTATAGATTCAATGCCGTCCCCATCAAGCGACCAACGACTTTCTTCACAGAATTGGAAAAAACTACTTTGAAGTTCATATGGAACCAAAAAAGAGCCTGCATTGCCAAGACAATCCTAAGCAAAAAGAACAAAGCTGGAGACCTCACACTACCTGACTTCAAACTGTACTACAAGGCTACAGTAATCAAAACAGCATGGTACTGGTAGCAAAACAGATACATAGACCAATGGAACAGAATAGAGGCCTCAGAAATAACACCACATATCTACAACCATCTGATCTTTGACAAACCTGACGAAAACAAGCAATGGGGAAAGGATTCCCTATTTAATAAATGTTGCTGGGAAAACTGGCTAGCCATATGTAGAAAGCTGAAACTGGATCCCTTCCTTACACCTTATACAAATATTAGTTCAAGATGGATTAAAGACTTAAATGTAAGACCTAAAATCATAAAAACCCTAGAAGAAAACCTAGGCAATACCATTCAGGACATAGGCATAGGCAAAGACTTCATGACTAAAACACCAAAAGCAATGGTAACAAAAGCCAAAATAGACAAATGGGATCTAATTAAACTAAAGAGCTTCTGCATAGCAAAAGAAACTACTGTCAGAGTGAACAGGCAACCTACAGAATGGGAGAACATTTTTGCAATCTACCCATCTGACAAAGTGCTAATATCCAGAATCTACAAAGAACTAAACAAATTTACAAGAGAAAACCCCATCAAAAAGCGGGCAAAGGATACGATCAGACACTTCTCAAAAGTAGACATTTATTCAGCCAACAGACACATGAAAAAATGCTCATCATCACCGGCCATCAGAGAAATGCAAATCAAAACCACAATGAGATACCATCTCATGCCAGTTAGAATGGCAATCATTAAAAAGTCAGGAAACAACAGGTGCTGAAGAGGATGTGGAGAAATAGGAAAGCTTTTACAGTGTTGGTGGGAGTATAAATTAGTTCAACCACTGTGGAAGACAGTGTGGTAATTCCTCAAGGATCTAGAACTAGAAATACCATTTGACTCAGCAATCCTATTACTAGGTATATACCTAAAGGATAATAAATCATGCTACTATAAAGACACATGCACACGTATGTTTATTGCGGCACTATTCACAATAGCAAAGACTTGGAACCAACCCAAATGCCCATCAATGATAGACTGGATTAAGTAAATGTGGCACATATACACCATGGAATACTATGCAGCCATAAAAAAGGATGAGTTCATGTCCTTTGCAGGGACATGGATGAAGCTCAGCAAGCTATCACAAGGACAGAAAACCAAACACTGCATGTTCTCACTCATAAGTTGGAATTGAACAATGAGAACACTAGGACACAGGAAGGAGAACATCACACACCGGGGCCTGTCGTAGGGTGGGAGGCTGGGGGAGGAATAGCATTAGGAGAAATATTTAAATGATGAGTTGATGGGTGCAGCAAACCAACATGGCACACGTATACCTATGTAACAAACCTGCACGTTGTGCACATGTACCCTAGAACTTAAAGTGTAATTAAAAGAAGGATTGAGTAAATAAATAAAATAAATTCTGTTAACAAAATACAATTTATATATATTTAAAAGACGCATTTGCCAAATAAAACTTTGCTTTTCACTGGTACCTATCTAAGTATAGGCATTAACTGATCTATGCTGGGTGCCTATAAAAGGTAGAGAAATGAATATATTATAGGTAATAAAGGATAAAAAGATAAAACAATGCTAATGAATTATGAACTGAGGGATGATTACCTCATCTCTCGATATCTGAGGTCCATGAGAAATAAAACAGGCATACAGAAAGGAAGAAATAGACTATCAAAATACATACGGAGAGCAGAGACAGGAGGGAAGAAGGCAAAATGGCTAAGCGATGTATAATATTTTTGGCTAAAGAGCTTGAGTGGTTACTGTGAGCCATTAGAAACTCCAGCCTCTAGCTAACCTCCTTCATAATTGACACCATCCCTGGCTCTCTTTCAGGCTTTTTCATATGTTGTACTATGAGAAAAGTATCAGAAACTATGAGTACCTTAAGTTGGAGAAAAACTCCAGGTGATATGTATTGTTTTTCTAGCTAATGGATGGAAGGGAACGATGATAGAAGGGGTCTGAGATACTGTTCTACTGGGGTAAAAAATACTTGAGAACTTTTATACTCAAATTCCCCAAATAGGGGTATCTGAAACATCTTGGGAAATTAAGTAATTCCAGGTCTCTGCCTCCTGATTCTCTTTTCAGTGCATCAAATTCCCCTTAAAAACAGGTTTGAGGGCATTTGAAAAGTGACTAATTAGGTAAGATTCATATCATATTCAGAAATTGTGTTGCATTAATGCAATATGAAAATGCTGCTATTAGCCACATTTATGTCTTATTAACAGTATAAAAGCATTAAGGTGACTTGCTTGGGCAGCCAGTGGTACTGCTAGCCTCTCTGGCACCCGTATTAATTACAAAGCCATCTTTGAAAGGGCAGTGTGATAAGATTGGCTGAAGATGAACAGAAATACGGGACCGTGTTTTTCTATTTCTCTCAGTTCCTTCTCCACTGAAACCTTAATGGTACTTGGGTAAATGATATTCAAGAGATACCAATTCTGAGACCCTTAAGCCATTAAAACCAGGGAGGGAAAAAGTGTTGTGTGTTACAAAAAGCAGGCCAGGAGAGATGGCTCATGCCCAGTAAAAAATCAAAAACTCATTGCTTGCTGGGGAAACCAGGTGTGAGGAAGGAATTTGATACCCATCTGGATGCTTAAATCTTAAAATAATATGGAGGAAATTCATAGAATTGAAAATGAAGAGGGGAGCAACAGATCCTAAGCTGGAGAGGGAAACTGGGTAAGACTGACTTTCCTAGCCTACCGAATAATGAAAATATCACCAGGCTCAGCTATCCTGGAGAAAATAAAGGCAGAGATTCATCGAGTGTCATGTTTTCGCACATGTATTAATTGTGCTGATTTTTATTGTTCATGAAACTTTTCCATAAGTGCATGTCAGAAAATCTGATATTTTGTATATTGACCGTCTTTAGATTGTGCTTTTATGTACAGGGTGCTATTAACCAAATCTGTGCTGAAATGCTAAAATTTCTCTAAAATGAGAAATGCGCATGCAACTTAGCAATGATCATCTTGGCAGCTTTTCTAAGAAGAGGGAAAGCATGCATTTGCAGAGCAGATAATAAGGCATATTCATCTAAATTCAATTCTTCAAAGTAAAAGTCAAACATCATAGAAAGCCAACCCCTTACGTGAAGGTACAATTACATCTTTCTAAATTATCTATTCATACAAAAATGCTGAGCTTCCAGGGCAGTAAAGGGAATGACCAGAGAGAGATTTCTTACCTACACTTTTGAAAACTAGATTTCAGATGGCCCATGCCCTATTATAAGTAAATTCAAAGAAAATATTATAATAAGCACAAATAATATAACAGCTCTTTAGAAACGCAAAGTCATATTATTGTAGCATATATTATTTGCCTTGCTGAAAACCATAGCCTTAGTCCTTCCTGGAGGAATTACAGTTTCTTAACCATCTGTGTAAGGAGAGGCCAGAAATCACCAGAGTAAATGGGATGGGTAAGGATGGGAACGTTCAGTCCAGGAAATTAAATGCAAGAGGACAGTGAAGGATAGTCCATGATCACTGACAGAGAGCAACTTCCCTTGCAGCCAGAAAGGGTAGATGTTGCTAAAAACCCTCCAGTGAATTCTCTGCCTTGGAGTTTACCTACCTGGAGGAATGAGGTGAGCAGATGCTTTAACAATATGCATTCCCCATGGGGGCAGGGACAAAATACTTAAGGAGTCAGAATCACATCGCCAGAGGTGATTAAGAAATTTACTGTGAACAGATGGATGTATCAGTGACTGTAAAGGGCAAAGAAGCAGATTTTCACAGATAATAGGAAGAAGATTCCACCGTGTTCTGATGCCCTGATCCTGTATGCACGCAGGCTCCAAAAAAAAAAGGGCTGTTGGATCCTTAATAAACTATAACATCCTTAGGAGGCAGTCAGGAGCAGAGGATAAAGCATGGACTTTTGAGTGCCTGAACCTAAATTCCTTCAATTGTTTTTCTGCAGTTTACTTAGTTTATGAGAACCTCAGTCTTCTCTGCAGAGTAAGGACAGTAAAATCCTTTGAGGATGCCTGTGGTAATACAGAACCCAGTGCCTGGCATATAATGTAGCCTCAATGAATCATCTGGAATCTTATAATTATTATTACCATTAACCTTTAGTACTTACTTGTTGACATTCTTATACAATTTTGGACAGTGCTTTCAGAGGTCACTCCTTGGGATCAATGGTAATGTTATTTGGACCTGTGATCTGTATAATGAACACTTCTCTAAAAGGCAAATATCACAGGATTTTTAGAGGATTGTCTACATTTGGGGATAATACCATTCGTATTTGGGATTATCATAACAAGAAAAAGGAAATTTCCAAAATCAAGTTAAAGGAAAAGAGAAGTCTGAGAAGTAGATCTAGAGAAGGAAAAATGAGCTGTGGAAATTATTGACATGCCCAAAACTACCAAAATTAACCTATGGATCTAGTAAACCACTATCAAATAAAGAGTATACAAAGTTCCTCTAAACAGCATTTCTTTTAAAGTGTACATGTGTGCCTTATCTGGTCTGCACAGCAGAGGGTATCAGTGTTCTGTGCACTTTGAGCTTCTGCCTGCTATATAGCAATTGAAAACTGAAAAAGATGCAAAAGAGCAATAGAGATGATGGAGGGTCCAAAATTTGTTTTAAAGCCAGAAAAGCAAAGGGTAAAGATGCCTGGGACTCAATAATAAAAATGTTTCTAAAATAAAGAAAAGACACTCTCTCCTCATAGAACTTTTTTAGTGAAATTGCCCTGACACCTTCCTCTACATACTCTCAACTTTTGTCTCACAAAAACTCTGGCAGCAAGTGAGCAACTCTCAGATGCATTTCACAGGTGAGGAAATGGAGAGTTAGCAACTTGGGGTGATTGTGGGAGACTCAGGTTTGAAGCTGGGCTCCGTTTCCAATATCTCACTCTCTCTACACACAGAGACTCAATGGAATCTCTTTCTCTTGAGAACTCCAAGAATTGATTTCATCTTTGAGAAATGCAATTCTCTCTTGGAGAGAGAATTAATGATATCTTTCCCCATCAAGATTCTTTCCAACTTTTGATGTCTCTGCATTTTTCTTCTGAGCCTGGGCTACTGGTTGACCTACTATGGAAGCAGAAGAAAAAGAACCTATAATAGAAGGAGTCAGCACTAAAATGTCATAAGTACCTCTGAGTTTTAATGAGGTGGCTATAAATATAAAAATTTTGTATGTGATGACACAGATGACATTGCATTGCCTAGGGTGTTATGAAACATATAAGCTGATTGACAGTATTGGCAAAAACAAACTTAAAAATAGAAAGTATATACCTATATGTCAATAACAGTTTTGAAATAGGCTGGATGTCAGTACACAGCAGCAGCCTGTGAAAGTTTGACCCATATGAATTCTTAATATTTTTGGGAACTGAGTAACTATATACAAACTGGCATTTTCTAGGATGTCTTTTCCTGCCATCTATCCTTGCCTGTGTTCAAATGAAGGCCTTGCCATTTCTTAACCTCACTGATTTCCAGTTTCTTCATCTATAAAATAAGGATAATAGAATCTAACTCATGAGATATCCCCAGGGGTAAATAAAATAATGCAAGTATAGTGTGTTTACATGATGATAGTGTATGTAACTACCATTAAGTAGTAACTGTTAGCTTTCCTCATGAGTGTCCTTTCTCAGGCTCTGCCAAGAGTAAACATGACCTTGAGCACCACTGCCCTTCAACCTAGAAGTCAGTGCCACTGCTGCTGGTTCTATTGTACTCTTCAGCACTAGCTGTGACGACCAGAGGTATTCATTTTCTAGGGCTGTCCTAACAAGAATATTTTAAACTGGGTAGCTTTAAACAACAATCACTTACTCTCTCACAGCTCTAAAGACTAGAGGGCTGAAATCAAGATGTGAGCAGGGCCATGCTCCCTTTGTGTCCGGAATTGGTGGGTTGTTGGTCTCACTGACTTCAAGAATGAAGCCGTGAACCCTCGCGGTGAGTGTTACAACTCTTAAGGTGGTGTGTCTGGAGTCTGCCCTCCTGATGTTCAGATGTGTTCAGAGTTTCTTCCTTCTGGTGGGTTCGCGGTCTTGCTGGCTCAGGAGTGAAGTTGCAGACCTTCGCAGTGAGTGTTACAGCTCTTAAGGCAGCGCGTCTGGAGTTGTTCATTCCTCACGGTGGGCTCGTGGTCTTGCTGGGCTCAGGAGTGAAGCTGCAGATCTTCGTGGTGAGTGTTACAGCTTATAAAAGCAGCGTGGACCCCCAAAGAGTGAGCAGTAGCAAGATTTATTGCAAAGAGCGAAAGAACAAAGCTTCCACGGTGTGGAAGGGGACCCGAGCGGGTTGCCAATGCTGGCTCGGGCAGCCTGCTTTTATTCTCTTATCTGGCCCCACCCACATCCTGCTGATTGGTAGAGCCGAGTGGCCTGTTTTGTCAGGGTGCTGATTGGTGCGTTTACAATCCCTGAGCTAGATACAAAAGTTCTCCATGTCCCCATCAGATTAGTTAGATACAGAGTTTCCACACACAGGTTCTCCAAGGCCCTACCAGAGCAGCTAGATACAGAGTGTCGATTGGTGCATTCACAAACCTTGAGCTAAACACAGGGTGCTGATTGGTGTGTTTACAATCCTTGAGCTAGACATAAAGGTTCTCCACGTCCTCACCAGAGCAGCTAGATACAGTGTCGATGGGTGCACTCACAAACCTTGAGCTAAACACAGGGTGCTGATTGGTGTATTTACAATCTCTGAGCTAGATCTAAAAACTCTCCACGTCCTCACCAGAGCAGCTAGATACAGAGTGTCGATTGGTACACTCACAAACCTTGAGCTAAACACTGGGTGCTGATTGGTATATTTACAATCCCTGAGCTAGATATAAAGACTCTCCACGTCCCCACCAGACTCAGGAGCCCAGCTGGCTTCACTTAGTGGATCCCGCACCGGGGCTGCAGGTGGAGCTGCCTGCCAGTCCTGTGCCGTGCACTCGCATTCCTCAGCCCTTGGGTGGTCGATGGGACTGGGCGCCATGGAGCAGGGGGTGGCGCTCGTCAGGGAGGCTCGGGCCGCACAGGAGCCCATGGAGTGGGTGGGAGGCTTAGGCATGGCGGGCTGCAGGTCCCGAGCCCTGCCCCGTGGGAAGGCAGCCAAGGCCTTCCCAAGAAGGCTTCGCAAGAAATCGAGCGCAGCGCCAGTGGGCCAGCACTGCTGGGGGACTCAGTACACCCTCCGCAGCCACTGGCCCGGGTGCTAAGTCCCCCATTGCCCGGGGCCAGCAGGGCTGGCTGGCTGGCTGCTCCGAGTGCGGGGCCCACCAAGCCCACGCCCACCCGGAACTCCAGCTGGCCCGCAAGCGCCGCACACAGCCCCGGTTCCCGCTCGTGCCTCTCCCTCCACACCTCCCTGCAAGCTGAGGAAGTGGGCTCCGGCCTTGGCCAGCCCAGAAAGGGGCTCCCACAGTGCAGTGGGGGACTGAAGGGCTCCTCAAATGCCACCAAAGTGGGAGCCCAGGCAGGGGAGGTGCCGAGAGCAAGCGAGGGCTCTGAGGACTGCCAGCACGCTGTCACCTCTCACCTTTAAGACTCACTAGAATCCTTCCTGTTCTCGTCCTAGCTTCTGGTGGAGGCCATCAATCCATGGTGTTTGGCTTATAGAAGCATCACCCCAGCCTCTGCCTCTGTCGCCCTATGCAGTTTCTTGCATGTGTCTCTGTCTTCCTGTGGCATTTTCCTCCTATAAGGACACCAGTCATATTAGATTAAGGCCTACCCTAATGGCCTCACTTTAACTTGATTATATCTATAAAGACCCTATTTCCAAGTAAGGACACATTCACAGTACTGAGGATTAAGGACTTCGACATATCTTTTGTTTTGTTGTGGGGAAGGCATACAAACCCACAATAACAAGTTTCTCCCTTGTTCATTTATTCATCCAATTAACTTTTTTTCTTATGTGCCATGCAACATGCTTAAGCAAGACAGATAATGGTCCCTACTCATGGAAATACCAGTCTAAAGAGGGAGACCGGCACTAAAGAAATAACAAAGTAGTAACTGACTACAACGTTAGTGACAGAGGGTGTTATGAGAGCATATAGCAAGAATCCCTAACTTAGTCCTTGGAAAGGGAAGCCTTCCCTGCAGAACTGGAAACCCAGCAGGAGCAAGTGAGCTCAAGGAATTAGGTGGGTTGAGGCAGCAAGTTATATGCAGAGTTCTAAGGAGCAGAAAGAATGTGGCTGGAGAGCAAGAGGCCAGGGCATAAAAAGTAGCCAAATTTCCAAGGCCAAAAAATGACTATAAAGAACTTGATCATAAGAGCAGTGGCATCTGTGGAAGAATTTTAGGTAGAGAAGTATTCTTATCAGGCTGTTGCCTGCTATCATTTATGCTGAAAAAACCACTAACAAATTTTCATAGCTTCACAAACTCCATGTAGAAGCTGATTCTGTGCCTCTTAGCTAAAGCTCTTCCAAATTCTGATCGTTTTCTTTTCTATTTCATGGTCGTTAATATCATAGTTGATGTCTGCATCATCTCCACTCTGCATTCATTTCTTCTCTGTAGAATTATATTCTGTATTATATTCCTATCACCAGAACACTGGTCTCTATCTGGACCTCCAGTAAGAGAAGACATGGAACACTTGATTCAAAAGCCTTTATTATATACATATATATGTGTGTGCGTGTGTGTATATATATATACATATATCATGTATACATACACACACACAAATCAACTTGGAGTTAGCCCTTTAACAGAGTGTAAATTAAAAATGCGAAGCACTAGATAAAGTATGTTAAGCTTTGTGATTGAAAAAGATAAGCCCTTTTCACCTGATTGGAAATGTCATGGAACTCTCTCTATAAATTCTGCAAAATTGATTTTGTTAAGTTTTTATAATTTGATAACATTAAGTATACATTCATGTCTTGATGCTCTTTTTCCTTAAATGTTCCTTTATATTGGCTTTGCAACCCAACAAAATCAAATCATACTTCATTTGCAATTGTCAAGCAAATGAAAGATAAACTGCAGTGGTTTATCCAAACATTTGATTCATTCTAGATCTGCTAAATGTTTCAAGTGCAATGGGATCATATCAAATTCTAGGCTCTAAAGAAAAAACTACTTTATTCGACTCTGCTGTCTGATGCACAGTATTGTTTAACCGGGAATCATAAATACCAGGATTTTAGTTTGAGTTTGAGACCACCCAGTGACTCAGGGATTAATGCCCCCTGCCATTAGGCAGGAATATTAAATTAAGGAAAATGCCCATCTTGCACCTTTACTAAATGTAATTTATAGTTTAACTATCATATTAAATCCTTTAATTGAAATTTGTAAAACAAATGGCAGTGTTAGTAATTCCTTTATCAGCTTCCAATTCTCTTTCTACTTAACACCCACCTCTAACCCAGGGGAAATATAGTTCCTAAATGCAATCCTTGAACTTGGGAAAACGTCATTGAATCTTCACATTGCCTAACCTTCGTGTTCACTATTCTCCAAGATAACACATTTTCATTTGTCATACAAATGCGCTCATTACTTTTTGTGGTACAAATGCATATTAATAGGGGCTTTCTAGCTTAACGTTATCTGGACTTCTGGCTTACACTGTAATTATACATAAAAAAGAACAATAGTTCAAACAGAACAAGAAACAGAAAAACAGAAACAAAATGTCAACTAAAGAGGTGGAAAGTCAAAAAGCACATGAAAAACAATAGCAAAGCTACAGAATAAGAAGTACAGAGTGACTAAAACAATTGGAAAAAGCTAGAATTAGCAGAATATCATTATCATTTTTCCCCACTAGGTTGCTCTCTGCAAAGGCAGTTTTTTGTTTTTTATAATTGGCGCTTTTCAAATATTAATTGGTGCTTTCCAAATATAAGTGTACAGTGGGCTTTTTCTCCTACTATGTGCCTAAATATTTGACAATTTCTCCCTATCCAGAACAGAGAAAAGTATAAGGGAGGCAAAACCCATTAAATATTTAAAGGTAAACACGTACTCCTACAGCCTTAAACCACAAGCCAGAAATGTCTATTAGTTCCACTAGATCACAGGTAGGATCAGATTGAGGGAAGGGTTGGCCAGCCCACAGTGTAGGAAGGAAAAACCTGCATAAGAGATAAAGAAAAGATGCCAGGAGAACCCATTTGCTTGAAGGAGCCAAAGCTAATGGGACAGCAAGGTGGCGGAGGAGGCCAAGGAGACAGCTCCAATCAAATAAAGGGAGCGTGCCCCCAGGCATGAGGCATTTAAGCTATCTGAGGAAGGTGCCTGGGGCTTTCCACTCCTCTTAGCTGGCCCATGAGTATCCATGTTAAGCTATTTCCTTCTTACTCTGAGAGCAGGTACCTTTCTTCACTGTACAAATACAGCTTTTCCCCCAGCAGACTTCCCAGCAGCTTTGGTACCAGTTTGCTATCAGTTACTATTTCTGCCATGTAAAAGCAGATTCTGGCCAAGTTTTCTTCTCTCTCTTATCATCATTAACATCACGGTCAATGTCTATTCATTCTCTCCACTCTGCCTTCATGTCCCCTGTGGTATTCTCATCCACGTTTGCCAGATTCCAACCCCGGGACACGATCTAGATCTCAGGATAGAAGACATGGAACATTTGGTGCAAGTGTATGAAGAATCAACTAAAAGCCCCACAGCTATTGCTAGAAAACTAGAGAACACTTTTGAACATTCTCCTGAAACCAGAGAGATGCTTCCCCAGAGGGATGGTCATGGGGTCATGGGTACCCCCAACCCCCACCCCACTGGTCATCACCCTCACCCCAGCAACTCCTGTGCCTCTTCTGAGTATGCACTGATGCTTATAGGAAGGTGCCAGAGCCAGTAGGGCCAGACTCTTCCCAGTGCAACTGTACCTGCCCGGGGCCCGTTTCCACCTCACGCTGTGGTGGGGCAGCACCCCAGTTCTATGTAACATTCATTGTGGGTTTTCTGTAAATCCCATTCATGGCTGTGCCTCTGTTCAGTGCTGAGAGAGAAACCCAGAATCTGCAGCAGTCCCTCGTTGCTGCCATCTGCTGTTCATCTGCCAGGGAATCTGTGAGCCAACCCCTCCCTCCCCAGCCTTCTGGTCAAGACCCCTGGGAATTCTCAAGCTTCCTTTCAGGTTCTTTCACCCTCATTTGCAGAGAAAGTCTTGAAATCAGTAAAAACGCCTCTGCTGCTGCTACCTTCACCTGACATATTGCTTCCAGACTGTAATCTGAGGGACACCTTCTCCCCATAGTTCATGGCCTGAATCCTCTCTCCTTCCTGGAATGTCTTGAGGTTTTGCCACTTTCTTCAGAGGAGGGTTCAGAGTAAGTGCTGTGGGTCCTTTCTAGCATCTGGTCCCACAACAGTGCCGCTAGTTCAAGCAGCTTCTCTAAATGAAAATCCCCTTCTCTAAATGAAAGCATATTTACATTTCCTTCACATTTCTATCAGGGTCACAGGAGTAGAGATGGAGGCATAAGTCTTTATTTCTGTTACTTTGTTTCATATTGATTTTCTAGCTTGGTTTCTCACAGCCCTTCTATCAAGGATTGAGACCATTTTCTCCAAATGTGAGAATGTAGCTTGTTTATCCTTGACTCCCAAACAGCTAGTAGAGGGCAGGTTTAAACATGGTCAAACCTGCATCATGCATCAAACCTGCAGGAGCTGGGATCAATCAGGGGGCATTTTGATGTCCCCAGCAAGTAGCACACGAAAAACCACACCTTTATACCCACAACAAATAATCACCCTTGGGAAAAACACAATAACTATTTTTCTGCATTTTCAAAATGAGTTTCCTGTGCACTGAGGGCGGTTCCTAAGAAATCAGAGATGACCTTTACCTTCTCTCCCTCTGAATCCCTGGATCTAAGTGATTCAGGGCCCAAACACAAGTTCTAGAGCTTTCTTCACCATTTCTTGGGTCATTGTATAAAATTAGACCCCTCGCAGCCTTCCCTGGCAAGCCAGAGTTCCCAAGGTCACTTTGCAGATGAGGCACAACTGGAGTTACTGTTGGTGACTTCAATTAGTAGATTAGGAAAGGAAGAAAAAAAGAAAAATATAGATATCCCAAGATCAGAGATATTTCCAATAAGAATTGAAGTCATGTGTCACTTAATGATAGGGATATGTTCTGAGAAACATGATTAGGTGATTTTTCATTACATGAACTTCACAGGGTGAACTTAACACAGACCTAAATGGTATAGCCTGCTGCATCCTTAGGCTATATGGTTTGACCTGTTGCTCCTAGGCTATAAACCTGTACAACATGTTACTATACTGAATACTGTAGGCAATTGTAACACAATGGTAAGTATTTGTGTATCTAAACATAGAAAAGGTCCAATTAAAAAATGGTATAATAATCTTATGGGACCACTGTCCTATATGCAGTCCTGTCACTGAAAAAATTGTCACTATGCTGCACATGACTATATTTCTAGGTTTCACTTTTTTTTCTGTTCCTTTATTTCTTCCCTTTTGACATATTTTTAAACAGAGAAGATGGAAATTATAGTTTTTCAAGAGCCTTCACTGTGCTGGGCTCTGTGTTGGCACTTTCCTGGAGTTTTATTTAGTTCTCCCAAGACCCCTGCAAGATAAGATTTCAGGTAGTCAAACTAAGGTTGGCCAGTAAAGGGATTTACCTACAGTCACAGGTGACAGATTCACAATTCAAATTCAAGCATCTAATCCCATAACTAATGTCCCTTCCTCTACCCCATACCATCTCTCAAAAGCTTCATTCTATGGGAATTCTTCAATCAATACATGGATCGATACATGGCCAAATTAAGGAGGCAACACACTGCAGAGAACACCCATTGCACCCATCTCAGTTCAGGAAGCCTGGATTTTTCTTGTTCTTTCCACGAACTAGCTGTGTGACCTTGGACTGTTCATGTGGTCTGTCTGCCTCTCTTGTTATCTCCATAAAATTTATTTCAATAGCTGGATTATTTCTAATGTCTTTTTGAATCTAATATTCTGTGATTCTGATATATAAGTAGATGAAGCTCTTTGAATAAATTAATATATTGGAAATCAAGACACAATTCTTTCTAACTCTTCCCATGATATCCCTCCCTTGAAGAACTCAATTTCCAGGCACTAGTGTTCTCATCACCATAGACATTACCACTTTGACAATGCCATTTCATTCACCTTTAGAATTTAAAAATCGTCCACTATGAGTGCATTACAAAAATCACTCACAGGCAAAGGTTAAAAAGTGGCTGCTGAGTATAATGAATTTCTGAAGAGTATTCAGTCCCTGATCCTTCTAATACAGACACTGCTTCTCAACAATAAAGGAATGATAATAATTGGAAGCAGAGTCCTTAAAACACACACCTCATATTCATCCCTCATCTTCGCAGCAGTCCTATCGCAATGGAACAAGAGCCTTTCCATGCTTAAAGGAAACTCATTTAGCCTCTTCATTCAGATTTTATCTTAAGGAGAGGAAACAATAGACATTTTGATGCCAACCAGAGCCCTCACTTGCACTCCTTGTTGCTAAGATGTGTGGGTGTCCTGTGGGAATTGGGCAAGGATGGATGAAATTCAGGGCAGCTGTTTTTCTTTTCTCTGCCATGCAGTTCCCACTATAAATTAAGCCTTTTTCAATTTTCTTAGTCTTGAGTTTCAATGGCATTAGCATCTTCCTCCTCCATGTTCATTATCATCCCTGACAAACGTTTCCAGAGAAAAGTGTTTCACTGTGGTTCTTGCAACATTTTCTCTAAAAATACCTTTTGAGGAAACTGACACTCCAAAAGGTAAACAGGGAAAATGTAACTTTAATGTGATAGTATTCAACACACACACACAATAACACTATATATTTTCTGTAGTCATATGAGTACAAATTCACTGAAACATCTGGAAGGAGATACAACAAACTAATGATCGTGGTTTGGTGGTTTCCTCTGAGGAGTAGAGTGAGAGGAGAAAGGGATCAGGGAGGATGTATCAGAGGGATTTTAGATTTGTCTAAAATTTCTTAACGTCTTACAAGAAAATAAAAACAAAAACATATTCTAAAACTCTAAAACAGGTCTAAAGAAAATGAAAGTCATGTACTAGTCTCCTTTACTCCCAATGGTTAGAATGGTTCTTGAATCTCTGAAACCCTTGTGCTCATGGAGAAGTGTGCTCAGTTTTGACAATTTGGGGTGTGCGGTCATCTACCTCCCACTATCTGCCAGGAAAGCCAGCCTGGCAACCCCAAAGAAAGTTCAATGATTATTTCACATTTGGTATAATTGAAATAAACAGGACAGATTCAGAATCTGATGTGGGCAGAAATGAGGAATGGCCCCTTGTGCTAATCATCCTATCTCTGTATCCTCTGCAGAGGTATAGGAACTCCTGTCCAGGCATCGAGGTTTCCTGCCAAGACTAATCCTGGGATTGGTGAGAGTGACCCAACAGTCCCTGTCCCTGCCTCTCACTGCCTGCTTTCCCTTCTATCATCTTTCAACATCTTATCAACACCCCCACTGACCCATTTACTCTAATGTCAGGCTTTTTTGTTCTTCCTGACCCCATGAGAGTGCCTATTGCCACTTAATCTTGGGTAGCAGCCATACTGCTAGCCTTCTCTTCTAGTTCTGGGACCCTGGAGACCCTTCCATCTCAGAATGTCAATAGGTTGAACAATTATAAGGTAAACATTTTACAGCACACATCATACTTTGTGGGGAAATATTGAACATGTTTCCCTCAAGGTCAGGAAGAAGACCAAGTTGTCTGTTACCACCAATTCAACACTGTTCTGAAGTCATAGCCAGCAAGACAAGAATAAAAATTAAACCACGTGGGTAGAAAAAGAAAACAAATCTGTAATTATCATAGATGACATGATATATAGAGATAACTTATACTAATCTACAGACACATTATTTGAACTGGAATTTAGCAGATATAATACCAGACAAAAAATCTATTGCGTTTCAACACAGCAATGAAAAAAGAGGCTACAAAAAAAAATTTAAGTACCATTTATGTTAACATCCAAAACTATGAAGCACCTAGGGAAAATAATTTAACAAAATCTTAACATAAAGGAGAAAAATGACAAACAGAAAATATAGAACGTTTATTATTTTTAAGTGGTCTAAAGTGTAGTGCAGGTATTAAAATGTTTAAATAAATTATGTTTAATGTTTAAATGGAAGTTTTCAGAGGTGATTATGAAAACAGTATTTTTGTAATAACAATATTCTTCAAATAATAGAAATGTCACTGAAATCATCTACCTGCTGGATTTGATATATTTTTTGCATGAGCACCTGCAAAATGCCAAATGAACAGGCATAATTTATCTAAAACAGTTTATAGGCTGGGCATGGTGCCTCACACCTGTAATCACAGCACTTTGGGAGGCCCAGGTGGATGGATCACTTGAGGTCCGGAGTTCGAGACCAGCCTGGCCAACATGGTGAAACCCTGCCTCTACTAAAAATACAAAAATTAGCCAGGCACGGTGGCACACAGCTGTAGTCCCAGGTACTTGGGAGGCTGAGGCAGGAGAATCACTTTAACCCGGCAGGCAGAGGTTGCAGTGAGCCGAGATTGCATCACTGCACTCCAGCCTAGGCAACAGAGCAAGACTCTGTCTCAAAAATAAATAAAACAATTTATGAATACTTAGTAAAAATAATATAAATGTATATAAAATAAAGTTATATTTCTATAACTTTATATTATAAATAAACCAAACAGCAAATACTATTACATTATTGTAGATTTGTCACCATATAGGACAAACACTAATAAGTGGGGAATTAAATTCTATTTAAGGATAAAGAACATAGCAAAAAAACTCAGCATGCTTTATAACTTTTATGTCAACTGAAAATTTTCTTTTAGTTTATTTAATAACTTGAAACAAGTTTTATAGATGTATAACCTGCTGTTGAATAATAACCACAGACAAATACATAGGAACACTGGGTGCAGGGCTGAAGTACCTTAATACATCTACCAGCAATATTCTCTTAGTCTTATCTGATAAAAAGCTGCCTCCCATAGTTCCTAAAATCACTGACTGCTTTGGTATTTTGAAACGGTTACACTTTTTCTTTTTAAGTTGTCCTTTAGGTGGAGTATTTTAAATATAAGTGCTAATGTGGAGTTTTTTATTTTTTATTTAGTTATTTATTTTTATGTATTTTTATTGATATATCATAGTTGTACGTATTTTGAGGGTACATGTAATTTTCTGATACGTGTATACAACATGTAATGATCAAATCAGGGTAAATAGTATATCCATCACTTTAAATGTTTCTCTTTGTGTTGGAAACCTAATTCTTCTATCTCTTTTGAAATATACAAAAAAATTAGTGTTAACTACAATTTCTCTACTATCGAATATTATACCTTACTCCTTCTGTCTAACAATATTTTTGTACTCATCAACCAGCTTCTCTTGATCCCCCCACTCCCTTCCCAGCTTCTAGTAACCACCAGTCCACTCTCCACCTCCATAAAATCCACTTTTTTAGCTCCACATATGAGTGAGAAAAAGTACTATTTGTCTTTCTGTGCCTGACTTATTTCACTTAATGTCCTCCAGTTCCCACAATGTTGCCACAAATGATGGGATTTCATTCTTCCTATGGCTAATATTCCACTGTGTATATGTACCACATTTTTAATACATCCATCTGTTGATGGACACAGGCAGATTTCACATCTTAGCTGTTGTGAATAGTGCTGCAATAAGCGTGGGAGTGCAGATATCTCTTCAGTATATTCATTTCCTTTCTTTTGGACATATACCCAGCAGTGGGAATGCTGGATCATAAAGTAGTTCTATTTTTAATTTTTTGAGTAACCTCCCTACTGTTTTTCATAATGACTGTACTACTTTACATTCTCACCTGACCATTCCTTTCTCTTCATCCTTATCAGCATTTAATATTTTTTGTCTTTTGGATAATCATTCTAAATAGGATGAGGTGATATCTCGTTGTGGTTTTGATTTACTTTTCCCTAATGATTAGTGATGATGAACATTTTTGTATATACCTGTCAGCCATTTCTATGTCTTCTTTTGAGAAATATCTATTCAGGTCTTTTGCCCATTTTTTAAATCGAATCATTTGTTTTTTTGCTATTGACTTGAGTCCCTTATACATTTTGATGATTAATCCCTTGTCAGATGGATGCTTTGCACATATTTTTTCCCAGTCTGTAAGTCCCTTCACTTTTTGTTTCCTTCACTGTGCAGAAACTTTTTAGCTTGATTTAATCATATTTGTCTATTTCTGCTTTTTGTTGTCTGTGCCTTTGAGGTCTTAAAAAAAAATTGGCCAGACCAATGTCTTATAACATTTCCCCAATATTTCCTTCTAGTAGTTTCGTAGTTTCAGGTCTTATATTTAAGTATTTAATCCATTTTGAGTTGATTTTTGTACATGGGGAAAGACAGATATCTAGTTTCATTCTTCTTTATGTGGCTATCCAGTTTTCCAGCAACATTTACTAAAACGACTGTCCTTTTCCCAATGTATGTTCTAGGTACCTTCGTAAAAAATGAATTGGCTGTAAGTGCATGGATTTATTTCTAGGTTCTCTATTCTGTTCCATTGGCCTATGTTTCTGTTTTTATGCCAGTGTCATGCTGTTTTGGTTATAACAGCTTTGTAGTATAATTTGAAATCAGAGAGTGTGATTCCTCCAGCTTTATTCTTTTTACACAGGTTTACTTTAGCTACTCAAGGTCTTTTGTAATTTCTTTTGAATTTTAGGATTTTTTCCTATTTTCATGAAGATATCATTGATATTTTGATAGGGATTGAATTGAATATGTTGATTGCTTTGGGTAGTGTAGACATTTTAACAATATTCTTCCAATCCATGAACATGGGATATCTTTCCAATTTTTGTGTTATCTTCAATTTCTTTCATAAGTGTTTTATAGTTTCCCTTCAAGGGATCTTTCATCTCTTTGGTTAAATTTATTCCTAGGTAAATTTTTTCTTTCATAGCTACTGTAAGTGAGATTGCTTTCTTGATTTATTTTTCAGATTGATCATTGTTAGCATATAGAAATGCTATTGATTTTTATGTTGATTTTGTATCCTGCAATGTTAATGAATTCATTCATTTATCTGTTCTAAGAGTTTTTTTGGTGGAGCCTTTAGGTTTTTCTACATACAAGGTCATGTCACCTGGAATAAGAATAATTTGACTTCTTTCTTTACAACTTGGATGCCCTTTATTTCTTTCTCTTGCCTAATTGCTCTAGCTGTGACTTCCGGTACTATGTTTAATAAAAGTGGTGAATGCGGGAATTCTTGTTTTGTTCCAGATTTTAGCGGGAAAGTGTTTCATTGTGAGCAGGTATATGCAAGCCTACCCCCAAAGTCTGAGGTAGCTGAGAGGCTAAAGAAAGAGGCTGACAAATCCAGTTCCTCAGAAAGAAACATTTCTTAGTTACTTATAAACAACAGCAATGTCTTTGGTGGCCGAGAGATGGTGGGTCCAGCACCTGTCCCTTAGAAACTATCCATTATATAGCAAGCTTTTAGGGTAAAATTATGTGCAGCTATTCATGCCTCAGAATTTTTAAAAGAACCTATTCTATTAGGGAGCCAACTGAAAATATCATGAAGAAAACTAAAGCTTGATTGTTTTTTCTTTGTATAGCCAGGAAATAATTCAGGAGTCAGTCTAAATTGTAGGAAAACAATAAAAACTCAAAAATAATGGTTAGGGCTGAAATCTAATAACTGGTAGGCTATAGTTTTATTCTGAAACATAATTTTTCCTTCTCCAGTCCCCCTTTTCTACCAAAGAGAAATCATAGATCAATTTTTTTCCAAAATAATTTGGCCTGATTATGGGTGGATCCACGAGGTCAGGAGATCGAGACCATTCTGGCCAACATGGTGAAACCCCGTCTCTATTAAAAATTCAAAAATTAGCTGGGGGTGGTGGGTGCCTGTAATCCCATTACTTTGGAGGCTGAGGGAGGAGAATCACTTGAACCAGGGGGTCAGAGGTTGCAGTGAGCCGAGATCGCCACTGCATTCCAGCCTAGCGACAGAGCGAGACTCCATCTCAAAAAAATAATAATTAATAATAATAATAATTTGGCCTGATTATTTGCATAAAGTGCAGCAAGAATAGTGATTGACCATATCAAACTTTTTTGTGTTGGCTTTGCTGAAACTTTCTTAAGGATTTTAGATTAGACTGTCAAAAGCCTTGAGACTAGGAAGCCAAGCCAAGGTTGTATCATCAGACCATGCTTATAATTGTATGAATTGAGTGAATTCCTCTCTTCTTAAGGTCCAGAAATATCTTGAGGTTCCTGGGCCTGTCAGAAAGTGACATTCTTTGTTTATACAGATTTGGGGGATATGAATGCAGTTTATTGCATTGATATACTGTGTAGTGGTGAAATCTAGGCTTTTAACATAATCATCATTTGTATAGTGTACAGTGTACCCATTAGGTAATTTCTCATTCCTCACTCCCCTCTCACCCTCCCAGTCTTCCAAGTCTCTAGTGTCTATTATCCCACTCTCTATGTCCATGTGTATGCATTATTTAGCTCTCATTTATAAGTGAGAACATGTGGTATTTGAGTATTTCTAAGTTATTTCACTGAGGATAATGGCCTCCAGTTTCATCCATGTTGTTGCAAAAGATGTTATTTCATTGTTTTTATGGCTGAGTAGTACAATGTGTGTGTGTGTGTGTATATATATTTTATATAATATTTTCTTCAGTCCTCCATTGATGGACACATAGGTTGACTCCATATCTTTGTTGTTGTGTATAGTGCTGTGATAAACATATGAGTGCAGGCATCTTTTTGATATAATGATTTCTTTTTCTTTAGGTACACATGCAATAG
Organism: Homo sapiens; assembly: GCF_000001405.40. NCBI lineage: Eukaryota > Metazoa > Chordata > Mammalia > Primates > Hominidae > Homo > Homo sapiens. Next base: position 80,846,715 of record NC_000010.11, on the reverse strand, counting down.
TGAGATTGCTGGATTGAATGGTAGTTCAATTTTTAGTTCTTTGAGAAATCTCCATACTACTTTCCACAGAGGCTGGACTAATTTACATTCCCACCAGCAGGGTGTAAACATTCCCTTTTCTCCACATCTTCACCAACATTTGTTGTTTTTTGACTTTTTAATAATAGCCATTCTGACTGATATGACATGGCATCTTACTGTGGTTTTCATTTGTGTTTCTCTGATGATTAGTGATGTTGAACATTTTTTTGTACACTTCTTGGCCATTTGTATGTCCTCTTTTGAAAATATCTGTTCATATCCTTTGCCCACTTTTTAATGGGGTTAACTTGTTTGTTGGTTTTTTCCTGTTGAGTTGTTTGAGTTCCTTGTAAATCCTGGATACTAGTCTTTTGTTGAAAGTTGTCTTTATATTCTGTTAATTATTTTATTTGCTACACAGAAGCTTTTTAGTTTAATGAAGTTCCATTTGTTTATTTTTGTTTTTGTTGCATTTGCTTTTCAGGTTTTAGTCATGAATTATTTGCCTAGGCCAATGTCCAAAAGACTTTTTCCTATGTTTTCTTCTAAAATTTTTAATTTGAGGACTCACATTTAAGTCTGTAATGAATGTTGAGTTAACTATTGTATATGGTAAGAGATGGGTCCAGTTTCATTCTTCCGCATATGGCAAGCTAATTTTCCCAGCACCATTTATTGAATAGGATATCCTTTCCCCAGTGCATGTTTCTGTTAACTTTGCAAAAGATCAACTGATTATAAGTATGTGGCTTTATTTCTGGGTTCTCTATTCTGTTTCATTGATCTATGTGTCTATTTTTATAACAGTACCATGTTGTTTTGGTTACTACAGACATGTTGTATAATTTCAAGTCAGGTAATGTGACGCTTCCAGCCTTGTTATTTTTGTTTAGAATTGCTTTGGTTATTCAGGCTCCTTTTTGGTTCAGAAAGTGAAATTCTTTAATTAACTGCAAGGTCAAAAACCTTGTAAGAGACTCATGTAAACAAGGTGCCAGGCCTTTATCTAAAAAATTTACATAAAGGAGACATAGCTACCATATATAGAGCCTATTGAAACATTCCAACTTTTATAATCCTCTCAACCCTTACATTTTTATGTTCTAGTCTCAAAAACTTCTCTCCACCCCCAGATCATTTTACTCTCTCTTGTACAAAAGGCTTTGGGCCCATAGCAGAGGTTTAAGCCAAGTAACCATGGCCCTTTTGTCAATCTTTATCTTGACTAACCTGCCTCAGCACTTACGTAAGAAATTCTGGGTCAGCTTTCTTATTATAATCTTGGTCTTACAGCTTTTAAAATTTCTCCAGCCTAGGAGAAATGCAGCAAACTGGTTTGGGGCCTTTTAACATTGGGGAACCAGGATGGGCTTCCTTTGGTTCACATAAACTTCAACAGTGTTGTATTAAGACTATTGTTTTAACTCTTTCAATTTCTATTTTATTCATTCAATTTTTTAACAGCCATCTAAAGATTCTCACCCTGTTGGGATGAGTCCCGTAGCTTTTCCACTTCTTTTTACCTATTTTCTTTTTGTCCATTTACTTTTATGTATAAGATTTTGTTTATCATTATGAAACAAACTTTAACCTCTACACTATATAAAATTACTTTTCCTTTAGCAAAAACCACATCCTCATGTCTTTTTGATAAACTTCTTCACCAAAAACACATCTTGCTTTCTCACACTCTGTATATAGAATTGTCTCTCTTATATCTGATAGTTTTAGTTACAAATATTAACTAGGAGGAAGTAATTTTGAACTGTTTTATATCAATATTTATATTTAGCTTTCCCATACCATATTTAGCTTTTCTATACCATACAAATGACTCTGACATTTAATGATTTTCTATTACTTAATTTAACATAACATGACTTTAATATTTTTAATTAATAAAAATAATTTTGAAACTATGACACAGGTACCCTCCCTAATCTCTTCCTTAGTCACCATGGGTCCCAAGTACACATGTCGCATGCAAGGATGACTGTAAAGGTCAGGACTTATCTGAGTCCTAAATTTATACACCAAGTGTAGAGCTCAGAACAGAGAAAACAGTTGTGAAGATAACGTCTAACCTTTCCCAGCATAGCCAGGAGGCACAGGTGGGCCAGAGAGAACTCCATATACATCCCCATGCCTTACCATGGCCATTTGTTTAAAGCCTTGAATCTAATGACTCTAAGACATTAAGTCACAGACAAGGCCGGGCGCGGTGGCTCATGCCTGTAATCCCAGCTCTTAGGGAGGCCAAAGTGGCAGATCACAAGGTGAGGAAATGGAGACCATCCTGGCTAACATGGTGAAACCCCGTCTCTACTAAAAATACAAAACAATTAGCCAGGCGAGGTGGCGGGCGCCTGTAGTCCCAGCTACTTGGGAGGCTGAGGCAGGAGAATGGCGTGAACCTGAGAGGCGGAGCTTGCAGTGAGCAGAGATCACGCCATGCACTCCAGTCTGGGCTACAGAGCGAGACTCCGTCTCAAAATAAAATAAAAAAGTCACAGACAAGTCTGACAAGTATCGAAAATCACAGAAGCAAGTTTTATGACCTTGAGAAAATCCAGCAGAGATAGCCTAAACCTGTCCAACAAGTAGATCCAAGTAAAAATATCTGAGTTATATTTAATTCCGACAATTCTGAAGACATTTCTATTTTACTAACAACTTAAAAATTAGTTATATTTACCAAAGATTACTAAACTCACATGAACTAAAAGGCATTTCAGTGAGTTTCTATTTTTCCTGATAAAATATTTGATTTAATTGCTTACCTTTTCTTTAAGCCAATTATTAGAGCTTCTTTCCATATTTTGGTAGCGAAATATCATATACACATGACACATATAAACATATAGACACACAGACACATGGAAGCCGATCATAATAACTTTATAAGATTCTTCATTTACCTGTGTTCAAATAGTATCTCCCCACCCCTTAGAGTATCCATCTTTTAATTACCTGTTCAATTGCTCTAAACAATTGTTAGCTAGGCAGCCCTAAGTTTATACTTCCCAAGACATGACTCTTGGGTAAAAATTTACATCATAAAGGCACAGAACTTAGCTCTAAACACCACAATCTGCTGAGACAAAGAAGGGCATAGACAAAAGTCCAGGCAAGACATGATTGCCAGGAAACATATCTTAAACAAAAATAAGATTTGTTATGTAAACTTTAAGCCAATGTCTTCTGTCTTCCCCACTGTAATAGTTTCTAGTGCTTTAGGTGTGGAGAGGGAGATGCCCTTACAACTGCAGATTTCCTTTATAAATGTGAATTCCTTTTACAAAATAGCCAGCCAGAGTTTCAAAATAGCCAGCTAAATGCCAGAAAGTTGTATTTTAGAGACCGATTTAGTTTTATACATGGTTTTTCTTTCAGTTTAGCTTGCTTCTTAATTAGATTACTGACTTAAGCCCTGTCTTTGTCAATTTGTGTTGTCATAAAGGAATACCTGAGGCTGGGTAATTTATAAAGAAAAGAGGATTATTTGACACATGATTTTGCAGACTGTACAAAAAGCATGGTGCCAGCATTTGCCTCTGGTAAGGGCTTCAACCTGCTTCTACTCATAATGGACGGTGAAGGGTTGCTGGTGTGCAGAGATCACATGGCAAGAGAGTAAGCAGGAAAGAAGGAAGGGAGGTGCCAGGCTCTTTTTTTTTTTTTTTTTGATACAGAGTCTCGCTCTGTCGCCCAGGCTGGAGTGCAGTAGCGCAATCTCTGCTCACTGCAAGCTCCGCCTCCCGGGTTCACGCCATTCTCCTGCCTCAGCCTCCCAAGTAGCTGGGACTACAGGTGCCCGCCACCACACCTGGCTAATTTTTTTGTATTTTTAGTAGAGACGGGGTTTCACCGTGTTAGCCAGGATGGTCTCAATCTCCTGACCTGACCTCGTGATCCACCCGTCTCGGCCTCCCAAAGTGTTGGGATTACAGGCATGAGCCACGCGCCTGTGCCAGGCTCTTTTCAACTACTAGATTTTGTGGGAACTAATAGAGTGAGGACTCTCTCATTACCACAAAAACAGCACTAAGCCATTCATGAGGGATCCACCCCCATGACCCAAAAGTGTCCCATTAGGCCCCACCTCCAACAAGGGGGATCAATTTTTAAAATATTTTTCACCTTTATTTTTATTTTTTGTAAATACAGGATCTCACATTTTATCCTAGGCTGGTCTTGCACTCCTGACCTCAAGAGATCCTCCCCACCTTGGCTTCCCAAAGTGCTGGGATTACAGATATGAGCCACCATACCCATTCTAGGAATAAAGTTTCATCATGAGGTTTGAAAGGTCATATATTCAAATTGTTGCAAGGCCTTTAATAAATAGGGCAAAGAAAGCATTCAGCTTTCAATTATTTAATTTATGAATAGCAGGCATAGCTGGAAGGTAGAACACTTAAAAGGATAATCTATGCTACAGGAATGCTTTGGTAAGCAGGAGTCAAACACCAGTCATGGTTGCCCAGGCAAGGTGGCCAAATAGGAACAGCTCTGGTCTGCAGCTCCCAGTGAGACCAACACAGAAGGGAGGTTATTTCTGCATTTCCAACTGAGGTACCTGGCTCATCTCACTGGGACTGGTTAGACAGTGAGTGCAGCCCACAGAAGGCAAGCAGAAGCAGTGTGGGGCATTGCCTCACCTGGGAAGTGCAAGGGGTCAGAGAACTCTCTCCCCTAGCCAAGGGAAGCTCTGAGGGACTGTGCTGTGAGGGATGGAGCTATCTGGCCCAGATACTATGCTTTTCCCACTGTCTTTGCAACCCACAGACCAGGAGAATCCCTCGGGCACCTACACGACCTGGGCCCTGGGTTTCAAGCACAAAGTTGGGAGGCCATTTGGGCAGACAATGAGCTAGCTGCAGGAGTTTTTTTTTTCATACCCCAGTGGTGCCTGGAACACCAGCAAGACAGAACCATTCACTCCCCTGGAAAGGGGGCTGAAGCCAGGGAGCCAAGTGGTCTTGCTTAGTGGATCCCACCCCCATGGAGCTCAACAAGCTAAGATCCACAGGCTTGAAATTCAAGCTGCCAGCACAGCAGTCTGAAGTTGACCTGGGACACTTGAGCTTGGTGGGGGTGGGGCATCCACCATTACTGAGGCTTGAGTAGCCCGTTATCCTCTCATAGGGTAAACAAAGCCGTCAAGAAGTTCAGACTGGGCAGAGCCCACTGCAGCACCACAAAGCCACTGTAGCCAGACTGCCTCTCTAGATTCCTCTTCTCTGGGCAGGGCATCTCTGAAAGAAAGGCAGTAGCCCCAGTCAGGCACTTATACATAAAACTCCCATTTCCTTGGGACAGAGCACCTGGGGAAAGTAGCAACTGTGGGCACAGCTTCAGCAGACCTAAACATTCCTGCCTGCCAGCTCTGAAGAGAGCAGAAGATCTCCTAGCACAGCACTCAAGCTCTGCTAAGGGACAGACTGCCTCCTCAAGTGGGTCCCTGAGCCCCGTGCCTCTGATGGGGAGACACCTCCCAGCAGGGGACTACAGACACTTCATATAGGAAAGCTCTGGGTGGCATGTGACAGGTGCCCCTCTGGGACGAAGCTTCCAGAGGAAGGAGCAGACAGCAATCTTTGCTGTTCTGCAGCCTCCCTGGTGATACCCAGGCAAACAGGGTCTGGAGTGGACCACCAGCAAACTCCAGCATACCTGCAGAAGAGGGGCCTGACTGTTAGAAGAAAAACTAACAAACAAAAGCAATAGCATCAACATCAACAAAAAGGACAACCACTCAAAAAACCCATCTGAAGGTCACCAACATCAAAGACCAAAGGTAGACAAATCGACAAAGATGAGGAAAAACCAGAGCAAACAGGCTGAAAATTTGAAAAACCAGAATGCCTCTTCTCTTCCAAAGGATCAAAACTCCTTGCCAGCAAGGGAAAAAAACTGGACAGATAATGAGTTTGAGGAATTGACAGAAGTAGGCTTCAGAAAGTGGGTAAGAACAAACTCCTCCAAGCTAAAGGAGCATGTTCTAACCCGATACAAGGAAGCTAAGAAATGTTAAAAGGTTACAAGAACTGCTAACTAGAATAACCAGTTTAGAGAAGAACATAAATGACCTGATGGAGCTGAAAAACACAGCACAAGAACTTCATGAGGCATACACAAGTGTAAATAGCTGAATCGATCAAGTAGAAGAAAGGGTATCAGAGATTGAAGATCAACTTACTGAAATAGGCATGAAGACAAGATTAGAGAAAAATGAATGGAAAGGAATGAACAAAGCCTCCAGGAAATATGGGACTATGTGAAACGACCAAACCTACAATTGATTGGGGTCCCTGAAAGTGACAGGAAGAATGGAACCAAGTGGGAAAACACACTTCAGGATATTATCCAGGAGAACTGCCACAACCTGGCAAGACAGGCCAACATTCCAATTCAGGAAATACGGAGAACACCACTAAGATACTCCTCGAGAAGAGAAACACCAAGACACATAATCATCAGATTCACCAAGATTGAAATGAAGGAAAAAATATTAAGGGTAACCAGAGAGACAGAAAGATTGGGTTACCCACAAAGAGAAGCCCATCAGACTAACAGCAGATCTCTCTGCAGAAACCCTAGAAATCAAGAGGAGAGTGAGAGCCAATATTCAACATTCTTAAAGAAAAGAATTTTCAACCCAGAATTTCATATCCAGCCAAACTCAGCTTCATAAGTGAAGGAGAAATAAAATCCTTTACAAACAAGCAAATGCTGAGGGATTTGGTCACCACCAGGCCTGCCTTACAAGAGCTCCTGAAGGAAGCACTAAACATGGAAAGGAAAAATCAGTACCAGCCACTGCAAAAACATACCAAAATGTAAAGACCAGCAAAACAATCAAGAAACTGCATCAACTAATGGGCAAAATAAACAGCTAACATCAAAATGACAGGATCAACTTCACACATAACAATATTAACCTTAAATGTAAATGGGATGAATGCCTCAATTAAAAGACACAGACTGGCAAATTGCAAAAAGAGTCAAGACCCATCAGTGTGCTATATTCAGGAGACCCATCTCATGGGCAAAGACACATATAGTCTCAAAATAAAGGGATGGAGGAAGATTTACCAAGCAAATGGAAAGCAAAAAGAAGCAGGGGCTGCAATCCTAGTCTATGATAAAACAGACGTTAAACCAACAAAGATCAAAAACGACAAAGAAGGGCATTACATAATAGTAAAGGGATCAATGCAACTTGAAGAGCTAACCATCCTAAATATATATGCAGCCAATACAGGGGCACCCAGATTCATAAAACAAATTCTTAGAGACCTACAAAGAGACTTAGACTCCCACACAATAATAGTGGGAGACTTTAACACACCACTGTCAATATTAGACAGATCAGGAAGAGAGAAAATTAACAAGGATATTCAGGACTTGAACTTAGCTCAGGACCAAGCAGACCTAATAGATAGCTACAGAACTCTCCACCCCAAATAAACAGAATATACATTCTTCTTAGCACCACATAGCACTTATCCTAAAATTGACACATAATTGGAAGTAAAACACTCTTCAGCAAATGCAAAAAAATTGAAATCATAACAGTCTGTCAGACCACATTGCAATCAAATTAGAACTCAGGATTAAGAAACTCACTCAAAACCACACAACTACATGGAAACTGAACAACCAGCTCCAGAATGACTACTGGGTAAATAACGAAATTAAGGCAGAAATAAATAAGTTCTTGGAAACCAAGGAGAACAAAGACGCAATGTACCAGAATCTCTAGGACACAGCTAAAGCAGTGTTAAAAGGAAAATTTATATCACTAAATGCCCACAGAAGAAAGGAGGAAAGATCTAAAATCCACACCCTAACATCACAATTAAAACAACTAGAGTAGCAAGCGCAAACAAATTCAAAAACTAGCAGAAGACAAGAAATAACTAAGATCAGAGAAGAACTGAAGGAGATAGAGACACAAAAAAACCTTTTAAAAAACAATCCAGGAGCTGGTTTTTTGAAAAGATTAACAAAATAGAGAGAACACTAGCCAGACTAATAAAGAAGAAAAGAGAGAAGAATCAAATAGACACAATAAAAAAATGGTAAAAGGGATATCACCACTGATCCCATAGAAATAAAAACTAACATCAGAGAATGCTATAAACACCTCTATGCAAATAAACTAGACAATCTAGAAGAAATGGATAAATTCCTGGACATATACACCCTCCCAAGAGTAACCAGGAAGAAGTCGAATCCCTGAATAGACCAATAACAAGTTCTGAAATTAAGGCAGTAGTTAATAGCCTGCCAACCAAAAAAAGCCCAGGGCCAGACAGATGCAGAGCCGAATTCTACCAGAGGTACAAAGAGGAGCTGGTACCATTCCTTCTAAAACTTTTCCAAACAATAGAAAAAGAAGGACTCCTCCCTAACTCTTTTTATGAGGCCAGCATCATCCTGATACAAAAACCTGGCAGAGATACAACAAAAAAAAATTTCAGGCCAATACCTCTCATGAACATCTATGCAAGAATCCTCAATACAATACTGGGAAACCAAATCCAGCAGCACATTAAAAACTCATCCACCATGATCAATTTGGCTTCATCCCTGGGATGCAAGGCTGGTTCAACATATGCAAATCAATAAACATAATCCATCAAAGAACCAGTAACAAAAACCACATGATTATCTCAATAGATGCAGAAAAGACCATCAATAAAATTGACCACCACTTCATGCTAAAAACAGTCAATAAACTAGGTATTAATGAACATATTTCAAAATAATAGCTATTCATGACAAACCCATAGCCAATATCACACTGAATGGGCAAAAGCTTTCCCTCTGAAAACCAGCACAAAACAAGGATGCCCTCTCTTGCCACTCCTATTCAACATAGTATTGGAAGTTCTGGCTGGCGCAATCAGGCAAGAGAAAGAAATAAAGGGTATTTAAATAAATAGAGAGGGGAAGTCGAATTATCTCTGTTTGCAGATGACATGATTGCATATTTAGAAAACCCTACCATCTCAGCCCAAAAACTCCTTAAGCTGGTAAGCAACTTCAGCAAAGTCTCAGGATACAAAATGAAAGTTCAAAAATCACAAGCATTCCTATACACCAATAACAGACAAACAGAGAGCCAAATCATGAGTAAACTCCCACTCACAATTGCTACAAAGAGAATAAAATATCTAGGAATCCAACTTACAAGGAATATGAAGGACCTCTTCAAGGAGAACAACAAACCACTGCTCAAGGAAATAAGAGAGAACAAAACAAATGGAAACAAAAAATCCATGTTTATGGATAGGAAGAATCAATATTGTGAAAATGGCCAAACTGCCCAAAGTAATTTATAGATTCAATGCTATTCCCATCAAGCTACCATTGACTTTCTTCACAGAACTGGAAAAAACTACTTTAAATTTCATATGGAACCAAAAAAGAGCCCATATAGCCAAGACAATCCTAAGCAAAAGAACAAATCTGGAGGCATTGTGCTACCTGACTTCAAACTATACTACAAAGCTACAGTAAGCAAAACAGTTTGTTACTGCTACATAGATATATAGACCAATGGAACAGAACAGAGGCCTCAGAATTGATGCCACATATCTACAACCATCTGATCTTTGACTAACCTGATGAAAACAAGCAATGGGGAAAGGATTCCCTATTTAATAAATGGTGTTGGGAAAACTGGCTAGCCATATGCAGAAAACTGAATCTAGACCCCTTCCTTATGCCTTATACAAAAATTAACTCAGGATGGATTAAAGACTTAAACATAAAACCTAAAACCATGAAAACCCTAGAAGAAAACCTAGGCAATACCATTCAGGACATAGACATGGGCAAAGACTTCATGACTAAAACACCAAAAACAACTGCAACAAAAGCCAAAGTTTACAAATGGGATCTAATTAAACTAAAGAGCTTCTGCTCAGCAAAGGAAACTATCAGAGTGAATAGGCAGCCTACAGAATGGGAGAACATTTTTGCAATCTATCCGTCTGACAAAGGGCTAATATCCAGAATCTACAAGAAACTTAAACAAATCTACAAGAAGAAAACAAACCCAGCAAAAAGTGGGCGAATTATATGAACAGAAACTTTTCAAAAGAAGACGTTTATGCGGCCAAGAAACATATGAAAAAAAGCTCATCGTCACTGGTCATTAGAGAAACACAAATCAAAACTGCAATGAGATACCATCTCACACCAGTTAGAATGGTGATCATTAAAAAGTCAGGAAACAACAGATGCTGGAGAGGATGTGAAGAAATAGGAAGGCTTTTACACTGTTGGTGGGAGTGTAAATTAGTTCAACCATTGTGGAAGACAGTGTGGTGATTCCTCAAGGACCTAGAACTAGAAATACCATTTGACCCAGCAAACCCATTACTGGGTATATACCCAAAGGATTAGGATTATAAATCATTCTACTATAAAGATACATGCACACGTATGTTTATTGCAGCACTATTCACAATAGCAAAGACTTGGAACCAACCCAAATGCCCATTAATGATAGACTGGATAAAGAAAATGTGGCATATATACACCATGGAATGCTGTGCAGTCATAAAAAAGAATGAGTTCATGTCCTTTGCAGGGACATGGACAAAGCTGGAAACCATCATTCTCAGCAAACTAACACAGGAACAGAAAATCAAACACTGTATGTTCTCACTCATAAGTGGGAGTTGAACAATGAGAACATATGGGCACAGAAATGGGAACATCACACACTGGGGCCTGTTGGGGGGTAGAGGGTAAGGGGAGGGATAGCATTAGGAGAAATATCCAATGTAGATGATGGGGTTGATGGGTACAGCAAACCACCATGGCACATGTATACCTATGTAACAAACCTGCACGTGCTGCATATATATCCCAGAGCTTAAGTATAATTAAAAAGAAAAATCAGTCCTGATGGCATCACTCTTTGCCATATAACAGGCTGTTTTCCTACAAAAGGCTTTCGATTTTTCCCCATTTAGTATGATATTAGCTGTGGGCTTATCATATATGTCCTTTATCATGTTGTTGAAGTATGCTTCTTCCATACCCAATTTATTGAGGGTTCTTATAAAAGGAAGTTGAATTTTATTGAATGCTTTTTCAATATGATTGAAATGACCATATGATTTCTGCTTTTGATTATGTTGATAATGTATCATGTTTATTTGTTTGCTTATGTTGAACCATCTTTGCATCCATGGGATAATTTCCACTTGATCATGGTGAATGATCTTTTTAATGTGTTGTTGAATTCAGTTTGCTGGTGTTTTCTTGAGGAACATGTATGTTCATCAGAGATATTAGTCGGAAAAATGTTGTTGTTGTGTTCTTTTCTGGCTTTGGCATCAGGGAAATGCTGGTATCATGTAATAAGTTTGGAAGTAGTTCACCTCTTCAATTTTCTGAAGAATTCAGTAGAATTGGTGTTCATTCTTCTTTAAATGTCTCATAGAATTCAGCAGTGAAGCCATAGGGTTCTGGGTTTTCCTTCGATGGAAGATTTTTATTACTACCTCTATCTTGTTACTCATTAATGATCTGTTAAGGTTTTTAATTATTTCATGATTCAATCTTGCTAGGTGGTATGTATCCAGGAATTTCTCCATTTCTTCTAGGTTTTCCAATGTGTTGGCATGTAATTGTTCATAGTAGTCTCTAATGATCTTTGTATTTCTGTAGCATCAGTTACAATGTTTCTGTTTGTCTCTGATTTTATTTATTTTGTGCCTACTCTCTTTCTTATTAATCAGTCCAGGTAAAAGTATGTCAATGTCGTTTATATTTTCAAAAAACCAACTTTACATTTTGTTAATCTTTATTTTCTTAGTCTCAAATTCACTTATTTCTGTTCTGATATTTATTATTACTTTTTGTCTACTAATTTGGGATTTGGTTTGTTCTTTTCCAGTTCCTTGAGGTGCATCATTAGGTTGTTTATTTGGAGTCTTCCTATTTTTTTGATGTGGGCATTTATTGCTATACACTTCATCTTAGTACCAATTTTACTGTATCTCATAGATTCTGATATGTTGTGCTTCCATTTCCATTTATTTCAATAAATTTTTTAAATTTTCTTCTTATTTTCTTCATTGACCTATTGGTTGTTTAGAAGCATGTTGTTTAATTTCCATGTATTTGTAAGTTTCTAACATTCTTCTTGTTACTGATTTCTAGGTTTATTCTGTTGTGATAAGAAAAGATACTTGGTATGATTTCTACTTTTGTGAATTTGCTGAGACTTGTTTTGTGTCCTAGCATATGGTTAATCCTGGAAAATATTGCATGTGCTGACAAGAAGAACGTGTATTCTGCATCAGTTGAATGAATGTTCTGTAAATGTCTTCTTAGATCAATGTGGTCTATTAATGGAATGTAGTTTAACTCCCATGCTTCTTTGTTGGTTCTCTGCCTGGATAATTTGTTCATTGTCAAAAGTGAGGTATTGAAGTTCCCTACAATTATTGTGTTGCGGTCTATATCTTCATTTAGACCCATTAATATTTGGTTTATATATTTGGGTGCTCCAGTGTTGGGTGCATATATATTGATTATTGTTATATCTTGTTGCTAAATTGACCTTGTTATCATTCTACAATAACCTTGTCTTTCTCTTCTTACAGTTCTTTACTTAAAGTCTATTTTACATAAGGATAGCTGCTCCTGTTCTTTTTTGGTTTCCACTTACATGGAATAGTCTTATCCATCCCTTCACTTTCAATTCCTGTGTGTCTTCATAGAAGTGAGTTTGTTCTCGGCAGCATATCATTGGGTCTTGTTTTTTTTTTCAATCCATGCAGCCACTCTATTATGTCTTTTAATTGAAGAATTTATTCCATTTACTTTCAGTGTTTTTGACAGGTAAGGACTTACTGCTGACATTTTGTTACTTGTTTTCTAGTTGTCTAATTCCTTCTTTCCTTTCTTCCATCTTCCTTTGTGGTTAAATGATTTTCTTTGGTAGTATGTTTTATTTCGTTGCTTTTCATTTGGTGAATTCATTATAGTTTTTTGCTATGTAGTTACCATGGGGCTTACAAAAAACACATCCCATAGTTGTAACATGTATTTGTTTTGTTTTGTTTTTTTTTTAGTATACTTTAAGTTTTAGGGTACATGTGCACAATGTGCAGGTTAGTTACATATGTACACATGTGCCATATTGGTGTGCTGCACCCATTAACTCATCATTTAACAATAGGTATATCTCCTGATGCTATCCCTCCCCCTGCCCCCCACCCCTCAACAGGCCCCGGTGTGTGATGTTCCCCTTCCTGTGTCCATGTGTTCTCATTGTTCAATTCCCACCTATGAGTGAGAACACATGGTGTTTGGTTTTTTGTCCTTGTGATAGTTTGCTGAGAATGATGTTTTCCAGCTTCATCCATGTCCCTACAAAGGACATGAACTCATCATTTTTTATGGCTGCATAGTATTCCATCGTGTATATGTGCCACATTTTCTTAATCCAGTCTATCATTGTTGGACATTTGGGTTGGTTCCAAGTCTTTGCTATTGTGAATAGTGCCGCAATAAACATACGTGTGCATGTGTCTTTATAGCAGCATGTTTTATAATCCTTTGGGTATATACCCAGTAATGGGATGGCTGGGTCAAATGGTATTTCTAGTTCTAGATCCCTGAGGAATCAACACACTGACTTCCACAATGTTTGAACTAGTTTACAGTCCCACCAACAGTGTAAAAGTGTTCCTGTTTCTCCACATCCTCTCCAGCACCTGTTGCTTCCTGACTTTTTAATGATCGCCATTCTAACTGGTGTGAGATGGTATCTCATTGTGGTTTTGATTTGCATTTCTCTGATGGCCAGTGATGATGAGCATTTTTTCATCTGTTTTTTGGCTGCATAGATGTCTTCTTTTGAGAACTGTCTGTTCATGTCCTTTGCCCACTTGTTGATGGGGTTGTTTGTTTTTTTCTTGTAAATTTGTTTGAGTTCATTGTAGATTCTGGATATTAGCCCTTTGTCAGATGAGTAGATTGCAAAAATTTTCTCCCATTTTGTAGGTTGCCTGTTCACTCTGATGGTAGTTTCTTTTGCTGTGCAGAAGCTCTTTAGTTTAATTAGATCCCATTTGTCAGTTTTGGCTTTTGTTGCCATTGCTTTTGGTGTTTTAGACATGAAGTCCTTGCCCATGCCTATGTCCTGAATGGTATTGCCTAGGTTTTCTTCTAGGGTTTTTATGGTTTTAGGTCTAACATTTAAGTCTTTAATCCATCTTGTATTAATGTTTGTATAAGGTGTAAGGAAGGGATCCAGTTTCAGCTTTCTACATATGGCTAGCCAGTTTTCCCAGCACCATTTATTAAATAGGGAATCCTTTCCCCATTGCTTGTTTTTCTCAGGTTTGTCAAAGATCAGATGTTTGTAGATATGCGGCATTATTTCTGAGGGCTCTGTTCTGTTCCATTGGTCTATATATCTGTTTTGGTACCAGTACCATGCTGTTTTGGTTACTGTAGCCTTGTAGTATAGCTTGAAGTCAGGTAGCATGATGCCTCCAGCTTTGTTCTTTTGGCTTAGGATTGACTTGGCAATGCGGGCTCTTTTTTGGTTCCATATGAACTTTAAAGTAGTTTTTTTCCAATTCTGTGAACAAAGGCATTGGTAGCTTGATGGGGATGGCACTGAATCTATAAATAACCTTGGGCAGTATGGCCATTTTCACGATATTGATTCTTCCTACCCATGAGCATGGAATGTTCTTCCATTTGTTTGTATCCTCTTTTATTTCATTGAGCAGTGGTTTGTAGTTCTCCTTGAAGAGGCCCTTCACGTCCCTTGTAAGTTGGATTCCTAGGTATTTTATTCTCTTTGAAGCAATTGTGAATGGGAGTTCACTCAAGATTTCGCTCTCTGTTTGTCTGTTACTGGTGTATAAGAATGCTTGTGATTTTTGCACATTGATTTTGTATCCTGAGACTTTGCTGAAGTTGCCTATCAGCTTAAGGAGATTTTGGGCTGAGACAATGGAGTTTTCTAGATATACAAACATGTCATCTGCAAACGGGGACAATTTGACTTCCTCTTTTCCTAATTGAATACTCTTTATTTCCTTCTCCTGCCTGATTGCCCTGGCCAGAACTTCCCACACTATGTTGAATAGGCATGGTGAGAGAGGGCATCCCTGTCTTGTGCCAGTTTTCAGAGGGAATGCTTCCAGTTTTTGCCCATTCAGTATGATATTGGCTGTGGGTTTGTCATAAATAGCTCTTATTATTTTGAGATACGTCCCATCAATACCTAATTTATTGAGAGTTTTTAGCATGAAGGGTTGTTGAATTTTGTCAAAGGCCTTTTCTGCATCTATTGAGATAATCATGTGGTTTTTGTCGTTGGTTCTGTTTATATGCTGGATTACGTTTATTGATTTGTGTATGTTAAACCAGCCTTGCATCCCAGGGATGAAGCCCACTTGATCATGGTGGATAAGCTTTTTGATGTGCTGCTGGATTGGGTTTGCCAGTATTTTATTGAGGATTTTCGCATCGATGTTCATCAGGGATATTGGTTTAAAATTCTCTTTTTTTGTTGTGTCTCTGCCAGGCTTTGGTATCAGGATGATGCTGGCCTCATAAAATGAGTTAGGGAGGATTCCCTCTTTTTCTATTGATTGGAATAGTTTCAGAAGGAATGATACCAGCTCCTCATTGTACCTCTGGTAGAATTTGGCTGTGAATCCATCTGGTCCTGGACTTTTTTTGGTTGGTAAGCTACTAATTATTGCCTCAATTTCAGAGCCTGTCATTGGTCTATTCAGAGATTCATCTTCTTCCTGGTTTAGTCTTGGGAGAGTGTATGTGTCCAGGAATGTATCCATTTCTTCTAGATTTTCTAGTTTATTTGCTCAGAGGTGTTTGTAGTATTCTCTGATGGTTGTTTGTATTTCTATGGGATCGGTGGTGATATCCCCTTTATCATTTTTTATTGCATCTATTTGATTCTTCTCTCTTTTCTTCTTTATTAGTCTTGCTAGTGGTCTATCAATTTTGTTGATTCTTTTCAAAAAACCAGCTCCTGGATTCATTGATTTTTTGAAGGGTTTTTTGTGTCTCTATTTCCTTCAGTTCTGCTCTGATCTTAGTTGTTTCTTGCCTTCTGCTAGCATTTGAATGTGTTTGCTCTTGCTTCTCTAGTTCTCTTAATTGTGATGTTAGGGTGTCAATTTTAGATCTTTCCTGCTTTCTCTTGTGGGCATTTAGTGCTATAAATTTCCCTCTACACACTGCTTTGAATGTGTCCCAGAGATTCCCTTTCTTTGACTAGGAAAGGGAATTCCCTGATCCCTTGCACTTCCCAGGTGAGGCGATGCCTCACCCTGCTTCGGCTCATGCTCAGTGCACTGCACCCACTGTCCTGTACCCACTTTCCAACACTCCCCAGTGAGATGAACCCAGTACCTCAGTTGGAAATGCAGAAATCACCTGTCTTCTGTGTTGCTCACGCTGGGAGCTGTAGACTGGAGCTGTTCCTATTTGGCAATCTTGGCTCCACCCCCCTGTATTTAAACCTGATACCAACTTAACTTTGATCACAAAAAGAAAAGAAAGAAACCAAAAAAAGTGCATATTAACTCCCTTCTCCCCACACATTATGAATTTCTGTGGTCACAATCTAAATTTTTTTATATTGCCTATCTTAAATTTTTTAAATAGTTTTGTCTTTTAGTATTCTTACTTAAGATATGTGGTTCAAACACCATCTTTATAATATTAGTATAACAATCACATTATTGTCCTTTCCTTTCAGTTTGAAGAGCTCCCTTTAGCATTTCTTGTTCAACAGGTCATGTAGCAATAAATTACCTCAGCTTTTGTTTGTCTGGGAAAGTCTTTATCTCTTCATCATTTCTGAACAATACTTTGCTAGGTACAGTACTATTGGTTGATTTATTTCCCACTTCAGCACTCAGAATATATCATGCCCTCTCCTGGCCTGTAGGGTTTCTGCTGAGAAGTATACTGCCAGGTGTATCTGATCTCTATTATATGTAATTTTTTTTTTCCTCTTGCCACTTTCAAGATCTTCTGTTTGTCTTTGGCCTTTGAGAGTTTGATTATATCTTGGGGGTATTTTTATTAGAGTTGAATCTGATTAGTGACCTTTGACTTTCCTATACCTAGATACTAATATTGTTGGTTTTGGAAAGTTTTCTCTTATTTTTTTGAATAATCTTTCTACCCCTTTGTCTTTCTCAGTTCCTTCTTCAATTCCAATAACCCAAATATTTACTCTTTTGATGTTGCTTCATTTTGTAAGCTTTCTTCATTCCTTTTCATTCTTTTTCCCCCTTCTGACTATATTTTCAAATAGTCTATCTTTGAGCTCACTTATTCTTTCTTCTGCCTGATCAATTCTGCTACTGATGCCCTCTATCACATTTTTTATTTTATTCATTGTATTTTTTACCTCCAGGATTTCTCTTTGAGTTTTTAAATTTCAACCTCTCTTAAATTTCTCCGATAAATTTCTGAATTGATTCTCTGCATTTTCTTGAAGTTCATTGACCTTCCTTAAAACAGCTATTTTGAATTCCTTGTCTGTGGGATCACACACATCCATTACTTTAGGGCTGGTCTCTGGCACCTTATTTTGTCCATTTGGTGAGGTCATATTTCCCTAAATAATATTGATGCTTGTGGAAGTGTAAGAATGTCTATGCATTGAGGGATTCAGTGGTTATTTCAGTCTTTGCACTCTGGCATTGTTTGTGCCTGTCCTCCTGCAGAGGGCCTTCCAGGGATTCTAAGCCAACTGACTGTTGTATTCCCTGGGCTTGTGAGTCCTGCAGCCATCTCAGCACTAGAAAACACTCTAAACCTGCACTTGCTGCAAGACTCACAAGGGCTCTAAGGTTAATACAGCTTTCCAGCCTAGACAGACCTGAGGAAGATGCAAGGAGGGTACTGGGGCTATGTGGGAATGCTGGTCAGGGACCTAAGTCCGGAAGATTGTTCCAGTGGCCCAGATGTATGTGCCTCCCAGCAAATCTCTGCACAGGTAAGATAGGTCCCCAACAGCAGCAAGAGGGGCTAAAATTGCAACAGGGCCCCTATGGGATCTGCTGTGGGGAGGAGGCTGGTGGGTTCATCTTGCTGGCTCAGACAGGTGTGTGTCACCCATTAGATCCCTGTACTTGTGTGTAGTTGAGGAACTACAACAAAAAGGACTCAAGCTAAGACTTGGCCCCCCTTGGGATCTGCTATGGGATGGAGGCTGGCCTGCCCTATCATATTACCTCATATGGACATCTATCTTCCAGTAGATTCCTACACAGATGTGATAGTTTCCTGACTGTAGCAAGTGGGGCTGGCACTGAGGCTGAGCTCCCTTATGATCTACTGTGGGACAGAGGCTGGAAAGCCTTTCTTATTCATCCAGAAGGGCATGTATCTCCCAGCAGGTCTCAGCACAGACAGAATAGTTCCCTAACTGAATTGGGATGGGGTGGGGCTGAGACTGGGCCTCCTAGGGATCTGCTGTGAGGCCAAACTGAGACTAGAAAGCCCATTCTCATTGGTTTAGAGGGGCACCTGTCTCCTATCAAGTCCCCATACAGATGATGGGATAGTGCCCTGATTGCAGTACTGGGGAGCCAGAGCTGAGACTAGGTCCCCTTAAATTCTGCTGTGCGATGAAGGCTGGAGAGCCCACCTCCTTGGCACAGACAGATACGCATATTCCAGCAGGTGTCAGCACAGATGGGATAGTTACATAACTGTAACGAAAAGGGCTGCAGCTGAGACTCTCTCAGGCCCCTTCAGGATCTGCTGTGGGACAGAGGTTGGCAAGACCATCAGGGAGGTCCAGGGTCCCAGTGGTGAAATATGGGCAAGTGTTCCTCTGGGATCTTGTGCAAGCAGCTCTGAGGTGGGACTCCAGCTTGGAAAAGCTAGAGCAGCACCTCAGGACAACTTGAAGGTTCACTTCCTAAGATTGATGTCAGCAGGCAGAATAGCCTTTCCATCAAGGCCCCACTGTGTGTGATTCCTTCTGAATCCCTTAACAGATGGTTTTGGTTGCAGACTCAAGACCAGACAGGGCTGTAGCCCAAACCCTTGAGGGACTAGGCTGTTTTCAGGCTTGAACCCAGAAGCAAGCTCAGCAGGGTACATCAGCCACATGGGTGTCAGTCTACACTCTCAAAATGACCCTCCTAAGTCTTGGGTTCCACTGGGGTTTCACAAGCTCCCACCTGAGTCTTGGGGCTTCTGCAGGATGACTAACTGTGGATAGGTGCAGAATTCTTGTTGTTGGGGGATATCAATGGGTTACCTTCTATTTTACCATCTTGGTGATGTCACTCCAATATAGAGTTTTCTTTAAATAATCTAAAAAATGAGACCCCTTGCCCATATAAAACTGTTCAATCTTGGATCACAAATAGAGCAATATTTTAAGGATTCAAACACACATTTTCAAAGATTCAGAAGATAAAACACAAATAAGGTACAAAAAAGTTTATTTAAAAAGTTTAAATGTGCCATTTTAACTGCAATTTGGAAAAATATTTTGGAATGTTTCAGTAAAACAAATGATAAATTACAGTCCTGAATTAGATCCATGTAATGGATAGCTCTTGTCATCTTTAAATTTATTTCAAAAGAACTGGAAGGGAATTTTGATAAAACATTAATGAAATATACAACAAAGGCAATAAAGATGAGTGATGAAATCAATAAAAATTATTCTGACATCAAGAAAAATAGCAAAAAATTTCAGCAAAAACTGTAGCCAAAAAAATGTTTAGACTATACCAAGAGCAGTTAATAATAGAGAGAAAGACATAAATTTCAGATAAAATTAAGAAATGAATTCTTGGGCAGCTTGAAATGCAATTAATGAAAGAGTGAAATATCTAAACACATTTAAAAAGACTTAAATTTCTTGCCAATTTGAAGCAAAATACTGGCACCAACTAAAATAACATAAAACTGATAATACGTCACTACAAACCAGATGTCATCAACAAACTGGTTAATGGGGGAGGGGTCATTAACAGTATTTAAGATGAGTCACTATCCTCAAAAACTTGAGGTGACCTGAAATTTTATAGCTCATATATGAAAGAAACTTAGAAGAGAACTTCCCAAATTTGATAATAATCCTAAAAATGTGCATGACATTACCAGTAATGAGTTATGAATCTTAAAGAAATTTTTCTAAGCCATCAATAACAAAATAAATTTCTATCACCCATGCTAGAGTAGACACTAAATCATCTTTATGTTCTCTGTATAGAAAGCTATATTACAAAATCATTGTCATATAAAGTGGCTATCAAAGTAGCCAAAAAAGGAAGAAAAAGGGGTTCTATTGCTGTCAAGCCACTAATAAAATATGTTACTTGTCTGGAGTTTGTGATGTTTGTGATATTTTTGAGCTTTTAAAATTTGGAATGTGTTGTGGCTTCTCTTCCAAATGAATGTTCATATTTGAACTTAATTATTGTATTTTAATTGTATATTTTTCCTTTAATGAGGTCCCCAACCCCAAATCATAAAAGCATCAATTCCTACAAAATCTAGATCCATCTGGCACCCAGGTTAGGTGAAAGTTGTAACTGGAATCCCAGTAAAGGTAGACATATGATTACAATTTCTTGTTTTCCTTTTTTGTTTTCTTTTTTTTTTTTTTTTTTTTTTTTTTAAGAGTCTCACTCTGTTGCCCTAGGCACTAGACTAGAGTGCAGGGGCATGGTCATGGCTCACTGCAACTTCTGCCTCCTGGGTTCAAGCGATTCTCCCACCTCAGCCTCCTGAGTAGCTGGGACTACAGGCACACACCACCATACCCAGCTAATATTTTTCTTTTTTTTTTTTTTTTTTTTTTGAGACAGAGTCTGGCTCTGTCATCCGGGTTGGAGTGCAGTGGCGCAATCTCAGCTCACTGCAGGCTCTGCCTCCCGGGTTCACGCCATTCTCCTGCCTCAGCCTCCCAAGTAGCTGGGACTAGAGGCACCCACCACCACGCCCGGCTAATTGTTTTTTGTATTTTTAGTAGAGACAGGGTTTCACCGTGTTAGCTAGGATGGTCTCGATCTCCTGACCTCGTGATCTGCCCGCCTCGGCCTCCCAAAGTGCTGGGATTACAGGTGTGAGCCACCGCTCCTGGCAAATTTTTGTATTTTTAATAGAGATGAGGCTTTGCCATATTGGCCAGGCTGGTCTCGAACTCCTGACCTCAGGTGATCCACCCGCCTCGGCCTCCCAAAGTGCTGGGATACAGGCATGAGCCACCGAGCCCAGCCCTGTGGTTATAATTTTTTAGGGATATTTTTAATCCCTTCCCAGCTGAAAACAAAGATAAGTCTTTGCAGTCCCCTAGAGAGTACGGGATTCTAGGGTCCTGGTTTTCTACGAAATGTTCTCCTCTTAGCCTCTCCAACCTGGATGGATATTGGGCTTCTCTCTCCCTTACCTAGCAAGTCTCAAAAACTGCCAGTCAGTTTGGCAAGTTCAGCAAAGCTGTCAGGGCAAGAGCCAGAGGCTTTGGTGTTCGCTGACCTCCCAAAGTGCCTTCACTGAAATTTGACCTGTCAATTCCTTACTATCTTGGCAACTTTACATGCTTTTAAGATGTTTTTAACTTTTTTATCCAGTATTTCTAGTTATTTTCAGTGGCATGGTCAGTCTGAATTATTAGCCAGCCATAGGCCTAGGCATATACCCTTATCCATTTCATACCAGATTTAGAGAAGCCCTATATATCCTGTCACACACATTCTCACCTTAAAAAAATAAGTTTATTTAAATCACACAGAAGAATTTTTAAAATTAAAAAATCCTCAATCCTACTAAGCAAATAAAATTAGTGTTTTCACACACCATCCTGTTCTATGCTTTTTCACTTTCTTGAAGTCATAAGCTAGCTAAGATTTTGAATGATGCTTGCTTTGTTGCTTTCATTCTCAATGTTTTAACATAAGCGTTTTCTCACATCATTAAAATGCTTAATGAACATTTTAGTTGGCTGTGCAATAAAAATATATATGCTCCTCTAAATTACACAGTCATAATGTGTGCAGTTCAGTTAATTAAAGAATAAGGGCCGGGCGCGGTGGCTCACGCCTGTAATCCCAGCACTTTGGGAGGCCGAGGCAGGCAGATCACGAGGTCAGGAGATCGAGATCATCCTGGCTAACACGGTGAAACCCCGTCTCTACTAAAAATACAAAAAATTAGCTGGGTGAGGTGGCGGGCTCCTGTAGTCCCAGCTACTCGAGAGGCTGAGGCAGGAGAATGGTGTGAAACCCGGGGGGCGGAGCCTGCAGTGGGCCGAGATTGCACCACTGCACTCCAGCCTGGGCGACAGCGAGACTCCGTCTCAAAAAAATAAATAAATAAGATCTGAAAATAAATATACATATGCTTCACCTAGACTTTCCATTCCATGAAGTTCAACTCTGTGGGGGCAGATTCACTGCCTGGACTGAAAGCCTTGTTAAGGAACGTGGTTTGGTGACAGCTTCTTCTCTCCATCTCCTTCTCCCTCTCCACTCTCTCTCCCCCTTCCCCAACCAGAAGAGGCAGCTTTCGACTGAGGTTGCATTGTCAAAGCCTGGTTAGCTGGATCCAGCTAGTTCCAAGGGTGCATCTGAACAGGAGGCAAAGGAGCGGATTCTAGAATGACCAAAACTCAATGTTTCCTCACACATGCTTCTTTTTTTTTTTTACTTTTTTTAAACTTTAAGTTCTGGGATACATGTGCTGAAAGTGCAGGTTTGTTACATAAGTAGACATGTGCCATGTGGTTTCCTGCACCTATCAACCCATCATATAGGTTTTAAGAACTGCATGCATTAGGTATCTGGCCTAATGCTCTCCCTCTGCTTGCCCCCCAGCCCCTGACAGTCACCAGTGTGTGATGTTCCCCTCTCTGTGTCCATGTGTTCCCATTGTTCAGTTCCCACTTATGATTGAGAACATACGGTGTTTGGTTTTCTGTTCCTGTGTTAGTTTGCTGAGGATGATGGTTCCAAGCTTCATCCATGTTCCTGTAAAGGGACAAACTCATTCTTTTTTATGGCTGCATAGTATTGCACGATGTATATGTGCCACATTTTCTTTATCCAGTATGTGGTATCAGGATGATGCTGGCCTCATAAAAAGAGTTAGGAGTCCCTCTTTTTCTATTGTTTGTAACAGTTTCAGAAGGAATGGTACCAGCTCTCTTTGTATCTCTGGTAGAATTTGGCTGTGAATCTGTGTAGTCCTGGGCTTTTTTTGGTTGGTAGGCTATTAATTGATGGGCATTTGGGTTGGTTCCAAGTCACTGGTACTGTAAATAGTGCTGCAATAAGCATATGTGTGCATGTGTCTTTATAGTAGAATGATTTATAATCCTTTGGGTAAATTCCCAGTAATGGGATTGCTGGGTCAAATGGTATTTCTAGTTTTAGATCCTTGAGGAATTGCCGCATTGTCTTCCACAATGGTTGAACTAATTCACACTCCCACCAACAGTGTAAAAGCCTTCCTATTTCTCCACATCGTCTCCAGCATCTGTTGTTTCCTGACTTTTTAATGATCACCATTCTAACTGGCGTGAGATGGAATCTCATTGCGGTTTTGATTTGCATTTCTCTAATGACCAGTGATGATGAGCTTTTTTTTCATGTGTTTGTTGACCACATAAATGTCTTCTTTTGCAAAGTGTTCATATCCTTCACCCACTTTTTGATGGGGTTGTTTTTTTCTTGTAAATTTCTTTAGGTTCCTTATAGATTCTGGATATTAGCCCTTTGTCAGATGGATAGATTGCAAAAATGTTCTCCCATTCTGTAGGCTGCCTGTTCACTCTGATGATAGTTTCCTTTGCTGAGCAGAAGCTCTTTAGTTTAATTAGAACCCATTGGTCAATTTTGGCTTTTGTTGCAATTGTTTTTGGTGTTTTTGTCATGAATCCTTTGCACATGCCTATGTCCTAATGGTATTGCCTAGGTTTTCTTCTAGGGTTTTTATGGCTTTAGGTTTTATGTTTAAGTCTTTAATCCATCTTAATTTTGTAAAAGGTGTAAGTAAGGGGTCCAGTTTCAGTTTTCTGCATATGGCTAGCCAGTTTTACCAGCACCATTTATTAAATAGGGAATCCTTTCCCCATTGCTTGTTTTTGTCAGGTTTGTCAGGTTTGTCAAAGATGGTTGTAGATGTGTGGTATTTCTAAGGTCTCTGCTCTGTTCCATTGGTCTATATATCTGTTTTGGTACCAGTGCCATGCTGTTTTGCTTACTGTAGCCTTGTAGTATAGATTTAAGTCAGGTAGCATGATGCCTCCAGCTTTGCTCTTTTTGCTTAGGATTGTCTTGGTTCCATATGAAATTTAAAGTAGTTTTTTCCAGTTCTGTGAAGAAAGTCAATTGTAGCTTGATGGGAATAGCATTGAATCTATAAATTACTTCGGGCAGTATGGCCATTTTCACAATATTGAGTCTTCCTATCCATAAGCATGGATTTTTTTTTCCATTTGTTTGTGTCATCTCTTATTTCCTTGAGCAATGGTTTGTACTTCTCCTTAAAGAGGTCCTTCAGGTCCCTTGTAAGTTGTATTCCTAGGTATTTTATTCTCTTTGTAGTAATTGTGAATGGGAGTTCACTCATGATTTGGCTCTCTGTTTGTCTATTATTGGTGTATAGGAATGCTTGTGATTTTTGCACATTGATTTTGTATCCTTAGACCTTGCTGAAGTTGTTTATCAGCTTAAGGAGTTTTGGGGCTGAGACGATGGGGTTTTTCTAAATATACAATCATGTCATCTGCAAACAGAGACAATTTGACTTCCTCTCTTCCTGTTTGAATACGCTTTATTTCTTTCTCTTGCCCGATTGCACCGGCCAGAACTTCCAATACTATGTTGAATAGGAGTGGTGAGAAAGGACATGCTTGTCTTGTGCCAGTTTTCAAAGAGAATGCTTCCAGCTTTTGCCCATTCAGTATGATATTGGCTGTGGGCTTGTCAAAAATAGCTCTTATTATTTTGAGATATGTTCCATCCATGCCTAGTTTATTGAGAGTTTTTAGCATGAAGTCTTGTTGAATTTTATTGAAAGCCTTTTCTGCATCTATTGAGATAATTTTTTATCTCAATAGATTTTTGTCATTGGTTTTGTCATTGGTTCTGTTTATGTAATGGATTACATCTATTGATTTGCATATGTTGAACTAGTCTTGCATCCCAGGGATGAAGCCAACTTTATCATGGTGGATAAGCTTGTTAATATGCTGCTGGAATCGGTTTGCCAGTATTTTATTGAGGATTCTTGCATCAATGTTCATCAGGGATGGGCCTGAAATTCTTTTGTTGTTGTGTCTCTGACAGGTTTTGGTATCAGGATGATGCTGACATCATAAAAAGAGTTAGGAGTCCCTCTTTTTCTATTGTTTGCAACAGTTTCAGAAGGAATGGTACCAGCTCTCTTTTGGGAGGGTGTATGTGTCCAGGAAGTTATCCATTTCTTCTAGATTTTCTAGTTTATTTGCATAGAAGTGTTTATAGTATTCTCTGATGGCAGTTTGTATTTCTGTGGGATCAGTGGTGATATCCCCTTTATCATTTTTTATTGTGTCTATTTGATTCTTCTCTCTTTTCTTCCTTATTAATCTGGCTAGTGGTCTATTTTGTTAATCTTTTCACAAAACCAGCTCCTGGATTCATTAATTTCTTTAAGGGTTTTTTGTGTCTCTGTCTCCTTCAGTTCTTCTCTGATCTTAGTTATTTCTTGTATTCTGCTAGCTTTTGAATTTGTTTGCTCTTGCTTCTCTAGTTCTTTTAATTGTGATGTTAGGGTATGGATTTTAGATCTTTCCTGCTTTCTAATGTGGGCATTTAAGTGCTATTAATTTGCCTCTTAACACTGCTTTAGCTGTGTCCAAGATTCTGGTACATTGTATCTTTGTTCTCATTGGTTTCAAAGAACTTTGTTATTTCTGCCCTAATTTCGTTATTTGCCCAGTAGTCATTCTGGAGCTGGTTGTTCAGTTTCCATGTAGTTGCACAGTTTTGAGTGAGTTTCTTAATCCTGAGTTCTAATTTGATTGCACTGTGGTCTGAGAGACTGTTATGATTTCCATTCTTTTTCATTTGCTAAGGAGTGTTTTACTTCCAATTATGTGGTCAATTTTAGAGTAAGTGCTTTGAGGTGCTGAGAAGAATGTATATATGTTGATTTGGGGTGGAGAGTTCTGTAGATGTCTGTTAGGTCCACTTGTCCAGAGCTGAGTTCAAGTCCTAAACACTCTTGCTAATTTTCTGTCTCATTGATCTAATATTGACAGTGGGTATTAAAGTCTCCCACTATTACTGTGTGGGAGTCTGTCTCTTTGTAGGTCTCTAAGAACTTGTTTTATAAATCTGGGTGCTCCTGTATTGGGTGCATATATATTTAGGATAGTTAGCTCTTCTTGTTGAATTGATCCCTTTACCATTATGTAATGCCGTTCTTTGTCTTTTTTGATCTCTGTTGGTTTAAAGTCTGTTTTATCAGAGACTAGAATTGCAACCCCTGCTTTTTTTTTTTTTTCTTGGTAATCTTCCTCCATCCCTTTATTTTGAGCCTATTTGTGTCTTTGCATGTGAGATGGGTCTCCTGAATACAGAACACCAATGGGTCTTGACTCTTTTATGCAATTTGACAGTCTGCATCTTTTAATTGGGGCATCTAACCATTTACATTTAAGGTTAATATTGTTATGTGTTAATTTGATCCTGTATCATGATGTTAGCTGGTTATTTTGCACATTAGTTATACAGTTTCTTCATTTTATCCTTGGTCTTTATATTTTGGTGTGTTTTTGCAGTGGCTGGTACTGGTTTTTCTTTTCCATATTTAGTGCTTCCTTTGGGAGCTCTCGTAACGCAGGCCTGGTGGTGTCAAAATCCCTCAGCATTTGCTTTTCTGTAAAGGATTTTATTTCTCCTTCACTTGTGAAGCTTAGTTTGGCTGGATATGAAATTCTGGGTTGAAAATTCTTTTTTTTATGAATGTTGAATATCGGTCCCCACTCTCTTCCAGCTTGCTTATAGGGTTTCTGCAGAGAGATCTGCTGTTTGTCTGATGGGCTTCCCTTTGTAGGTATCCTGACATTTCTCTCTGGTTGCCCTTAACATTTTTTCCTCCATTTCAAACTTGGAGATCTGACAGTTATGTGTCTTTGGGTTGCTCTTCTCGAGGAGTATCTTTGTGGTAGTCTCTGGATATCCTGAATTTGAATGTTGGCCTGTCTTGCTAGGTTGTGGCAGTTCTCCTGGATAATATCCTGAAGTGTGTTTTCCAACTTGGTTCCATTCTCCCTGTCACTTTCAGGGATACCAATCAGTCGTAGTTTTGGCCTTTTCAAATAAGTTTGGCCTACTTCAGTTAAGTTGATCCTCAATATCTGATATGCTTTCTTCTGCTTGGTTGATTTGGCTGTTGACACTCGTGTATGCTTCATGAAGTTCTCGTGCTGTGTTATTCAGCTCCAACAGGTCATTTATGTTTTTCTGTAAACTGGTTATTCTAGTTAGGAGTTCCTATAACCTTTTGTCAAGGTTCTAACTTCCTTGCATTGGGTTAGAACATGCTCCTTTAGCTCAGAGGAGTTTGTTATTACCCACCTTTTGAAGCCTACTTCTGTCAATTCCTCAAACTCATTCTCTGTCCAGTTTTGTACCCTTGCTGGAGACGAGTTGTGATCATTTGGAGGAGAAGAGGCATCCTGGTTTTTGGAATTTTTCGGCATTTTTGCACTGGCTTTTCCTCATCTTCATGGATTTATCTACCTTTGATCTTTGAGGCTGATGACCTCTGGATGGGGTTTCTGTGTGGGAGTCCTTTTTGTCGATGTTGGTATTATTGCTTTCCGTTTGTTAGTTTTTCTTCTAATAGGCCCCTCTTCTGCATGGCTGCTGCAGTTTGCTGGAGGTCCACTCCAGACCCTGTTTGCCTGGTATCACCAGCGGATGCTGCAGAACAGCAAAGATTGCTGCCTGCTCATTCTTCTGGAAGCTTGTCCCAGAGGGGCACCAGCCTCATGCCAGTTGGAGCTCTCCTGTATGAGGTGTCTGTCAACCCCCTTTGGAAGGTCTCTCCCTGTTAGGAGGCACGGGGGTCAGGGACTCACTTGAGGGGGAAGTCTGTCCCTTAGCGGTGCTCAAGTGCTGTGCTGGGAGAACTCTCCTTGTCAGGATCCTCTGTTATCTTCAGAGCTGGCAGGCAGGAATATTTAAGTCTGCTGACGCTGCACCCACAACGGCCCCTTCCCCCAGGTGCTCTGTCCCAGGGAAATGGGAGTTTTATATATAGGCCTTGACTGGGTCTGCTGCCTTTCTTTCAGAGATGCCCTGCCCAGTGAAGAGGAATCTAGAGAGGCAGTCTGGCTGCAGCCGCTTTGTCGCGCTGTGTTGAGTTCTGCCCGGTCTGAACTTCCCAGCCTCCTTAACACTGTCAGGGGAAAACTACCTACTCAAGCCTCAGTGATGTTGATGTGCCGCTCCCCACCAAGCTCAATCATCCCAGGTCAACTTCAGACTGTTGTGCTGGAAGCAAGAATTTCAAGCCAGTGGTTCTTAGCTTGCTGGGCTCCATGGTAATGGAACCCTCAGAGTGAGACCACTTGGCTCCCTGGCTTCAGCCTGCTTTCCAGGGAAGTAAACAGTTCTGTCTCACTGGGGTTCCAGGCACCACTGGGGTATGGAAAAAAAAAAAAAAAAACTACTGCAGCTAGCTTGGTGTCTGCCCAAACAGCAGCCCAGTTTTGTGCTTGAAACCCACACCCCTAGTGGTGTAGGCACACGAGGGGATCTCCTGGTCTGCGGATTGCAAAAACCATGGGAAAAGCATAGTATCTGGACTGGGTAGGACAGTCCCTCATAGCCTCCCTTGGCTGCGAAAGGGAGACCCCCACTCCTTGCACTTCCCAGGTAAGGTGACACCCCACCCTGCTTCTGCTCGCCCTCTGTGGGCTGTACCCACTGCCTAACCAGTCCCAATGAGATGAACAGTGTACCTCAGTTGGAAATGCAGGATTCACCTGCCTTCTGTGCTGGTCTCGCTGGGAGCTGCAGACCAGAGCTGTTCCTGTTTGGCCATATTGCCCGATCCCCACATGCTTCTTTATTTTGAGATGGAGTTTCATTCTTGTTGCCCAGGCTGGAGTGCAATGGCAAGACCTCAGCTCACTGCAACCTCCACCTCCTGGGTTCAAGTGATTCTCCTGCCTCAGCCTCCCGAGTAGCTGGAATTACAGGTGCCCGCCACCAAGCCCAGCTAATTTTTGTATTTTTAAAGTAGAGATGGGCTTTCGCCATGTTGTTCAGGTTGGTCTTGAACTCCTGACCTCGGGTGATCCACCCACCTCGGCCTCCCAAAGTGCTGGGAATACAGGCAAGAGCCACCACACCTGGACACACACATGCTTCTTTGAAGTCCCTTTCATTCAAAGAATTCCGTCCATATATTTTTTAATGTAGAAATATATGTTTGGGTGTAAGAGGAACAATGAAACTCATGTCTTTCCCTCCCCTCACTCCCAAATCCCACTGAAATGACAGCAAAGATGCACAGAAAGGAATAAACCTGCTACTGCTCTGATAATAAAACCAGAACCATGAGTAGACAGACTTAGGCACTTTGATGAAATTTCTGTAGGAAAGAAAGGGGAGAAGAGTGTATCAAACAACAAACCAGAATGCAGAGAGCTGCAGCCCAGAACACACAGAGAATGCCAATGGTACTTTTCTATTCTGCTGACAACCCCTCCGAGTCTCCAACTGGTGATCAAGATAAATGGAGGAGTGCTTATGGGACACCTGGGATATATCGTCTGCACCACACACATACAAAGTGACTGGCAGCAGTTCAAACCTGTCCCCTGCTGAAGTCTAAAATCTCTTCTTCAGTGAAAATGCATGATCTGCCTGAAGGGAGCCAGTGTTCTGGGTGTTGGTGCACAGGGTAAAGCCCTTTGGGTTTTTTGGTTTTGTTTTTTGAGATGGAGTCTCACTCTGTCGCTGAGGCTGGAGTGCAGTGGCACAGTCTCGGCTCACTGCAACCTCTGCCTCCTGGGTTCAAGCGAGTCTCCAGCCTCACCCTCCAGAGAAGCTGGAATTACAAGCAGGCACCACCATGCCCGGCTAATTTTTGTACTTTCAGTAGAGATGGGGTTTTGCCGTGTTGGCCAGGCTGCTCTTAAACTCCTAGATCCACCTGCCTCAGCCTCCCGCAGTGCTGGGATTACAGGCAAGCCACCACACCTGGCCAACCTTTGGGTTTTCACATTGATGTTGGGGAGGAAGTCTGCCTACCTGCTCCTTGTTGGAGTACATCCTGCAATAAAACCTGCTAATCAGTACCCCTGCTCTCACCACATACACCCCCAACAACTTCTGTTTTGTTACCTATTGCTGCTTAACAATTTACTCAACATGCTGTGGTTTAAAAAATCAGCCATTTTATTGTATCTCATGATTACTGGCTCAGGAATTCAGGCAGTGCTCAGACGGACATTTTTCCTGCTCCATGTGGCCTTGGCTAAGGTCACTTGGTGGAATTCAGATTGGGGATGGCTGGTCTAGAGGGTTCAAGGGGCTTCATTCACATGTTTGGCACCTTGGCAAGCATGGCTGGAAGACTGGGCTCAGCTGGATGGACCACTGGCGCACATATACATGAACTTTCCTACATGGGGGTCTCAGGGTAATTGGACTTCTTATATGGTCACTAAAAGATACCAAAGAGGATGTACTAAAAGACAGGAAGGGCCGAGTGCGGTGGCTTATGCCTGTAATCCCAGCACTTTGGGAGGCCGAGGCAGGTGGATCATGAGGTCAGGAGATCGAGACCATCCTGGCTAACATGGTGAAACCTCATCTCTACTAAAAAGTACAAAAAAAAATAGCTAGGCATGGTGGCAGGTGCCTGTAGTCCCAGCTACTCGGGAGGCTGAGGCAGGAGAAAGTTGTGAACCCAGGAGGCAGAGCTTGTGGTGAGCCGAGATCACGCCACTGCACTCCAGCCTAGGTGACAGAGCAAGACTCCATCTCAAAAAAAGGAAGAAGAAACCTCCAATATTTTAAGGCATGGTCCCAGCAACCTGGACCATGGTCCCAGCAATATGGTCACATTTACCATTGTCTATTAGTCAAGAAGTCAGAAGGTCCATCTATATCCAAGGGAAAAGAACACAGACCTTGCCATATATTCTAGTAGGGAAGGGAGGAAAAAAAGCCACTAAATACATAAGATGATTTGAGTTATGAAGAAAACTAAAGCAGTCAGAGGGATTAGGAAGTGTCAGGAAGGCAGGAGGGATACTATTTATCCAGGGCTGTCATGGGGGTCCTCACTGGTTAGGTGGCTTTCGAGCAGGGACTAGTGTGTCCAGAATTGGTGGGTTCTTGGTCTCACTGACTTCAAGAATGAAGCCACGGACCCTCACAGTGAGTGTTAACAGTTCTTAAAGGCGGCGTGTCCAGAGTTTGTTCCTTCTGATGTTCGGATGTGTCTGGAGTTTCTTCCTTCTGGTGGGTTAAGTGGTCTCACTGGCTCAGGAGTGAAGCTGCAGACCTTCGCGGTGAGTGTTACAGCTCATAAAGGCAGTGTGGACCTAAAGAATGAGCAGCAGCAAGATTTATTGCAAAGAGTGAAAGAAGAACGCTTCCACACCGGGACCAGAGCCAGTTGCCACTGCTGGCTCAGGTAGCCTGCTTTTATTCTATTATCTGGCCCCACCCACATCCTGCTGATTGGTCCATTTTACAGACAGCCGATTGGTCCGTTTTGACAGGGTGCTGATTGGTGCATTTACAATCCCTGAGCTAGGCACAAAAGTTCTCCACATCCCCACTAGATTAGCTAGATACAGGGTGTCAACACAAATGTTCTTCAAGTCCCCACCAGATTAACTAGATACAGAGTGTCGATTGGTGCATTCACAAACCCTGAGCTAGACACAGGGTGCTGATTGGTGTGTTTACAAACCTTGAGCTAGATACAGAGTGCTGATTGGTGTATTACAATCCCTTAGCTAGACATAAAGATTCTCCAAGTCCCCATCAGACTCAGGAGCCCAGCTGGCTTCACCCAATGGATACCGCACCAGGGCCACAGGTGGAGCCGCCTGCCAGTCCAGTGCCCTGAGCCTGCACTCCTCAGCCCTTAGGTGGTGATGGGACTGTGCACCGTGGAGCAGGGGGCGGCACTTGTCAGGGAGGCTCCCTTGCGCAGGAGCCCAGGTGGGGGAGCTGGGGGCGTGGGGAGGCTCAGGCATGGCGGGCTGCAGGTCCGGAGCCCTGCCTGGCGGGGAGGCAGCTAAGGCCCGGTGAGAAATCGAGCATAGCAGCTGTTGGCCCAGGTGCTAAGCCCCTCACTGCCTGGGGCTTGTGGGACGGCCAGCCGCTGAGTGCGGGCCCACTGAGACCATGCCCACCCGGAACTCCCGTTGGCCCCGGTTCCCACCGGTGCCTCTCCCTCCACACCTCCCAGCAAGCTGAGGGAACAGGCGCCGGCCTTGGACAGCCCAGAGAGCGCCTCCCACAGTACAGCGGTGGGCTGAAGGGCTCCTCAAGTGCCACCAAAGTGGGAGCCCAGGCAGAGGAGGAGCCTAGAGCGAGTGAGGGCTGCGAGGACTGCCAGCAGGTTGTCACCTCTCACTGGAAGGAAGTGAAATACAGCCATGTAGATTTTTGGCTTTTCTCCTAAGTAAAATGGGTAATCCTTGGAGAGTTTTCAGCAGAGGATTAATAATATAGTCTGATTTCAGCCGGGCACGGTGGCTCACACTGGTAATCCCAAAACTTTGGAAGGTCGAGGCGGGTGGATCACCTGAGGTCAGGAGTTCGACACTATCCTGGCCAACATGGTGAAACCCTGTCTCTACTAAAAATCCAAAAATTAGCCAGGTGTGGTGGCACATGCCTGTAATCTCAGCTACTCAGGAGGCTAAGACAGGAGAATCGCTTAAACCCAGGAAGCAGACAGAGGTTGCAGTGAGCTGAGATTGCACCACTGCACTCTAGCCTAGGAAACAGAGAAAGACTCCATCTCAAAAAAAAAAAATATATATATATATATATAGAGAGAGAGAGACAGAGAGAGAGGGAGAGAGAGAGTGTATCTGATTTTAATTTTAAAGCCATACTCTTACTGCTAAATAGACTGCAGGGGAGATAAAGGGGAAAGTAGGGATGCTAACTAAAAGGTTATTTTGATAATCTGGTCAAGAAGTCATAATGTCTTGGACCAGCGGTGGATATATTAAAAAGTGGCCAGTTCTGTAAAGACACTATGTAGATACAGACGTACCTACAAATATAACTTAATTAAATTTTTCAGCCATATATCGTAGGGAATATATAGTTTGTAAGTTCTTAGTAAGAAACCAATAATATAAACCAATAATATTTCTTTTTATTGAAGTATAGCTTACATTAATCCGTGCAAATCTTAAGTGAACCTTCATTTGCTCATTTTCACATATGTGTATGTGAAAATGTGTATACTTATATATGTATGTGTATGTGTATACTTATATAATCACATATTAATAGAAGAGTCCCTCCTGGCCCTTTCTGTCAATATTCTCTTTAGAGATAATCACTATTCTGACCTCCATGAGTAAGGATTCGGCTTGTCT
Source organism: Homo sapiens (assembly GCF_000001405.40). Classification (NCBI taxonomy): domain Eukaryota; kingdom Metazoa; phylum Chordata; class Mammalia; order Primates; family Hominidae; genus Homo; species Homo sapiens. The sequence continues at coordinate 80,813,045 of NC_000010.11, read as the reverse complement.
GTTTATATTCTTTATATTAACAGAATAATATAATATGCATGCCTTTATACCTGGCATATTTCATTTAATATTAGTCTATGAGATTCATCTATGTTCCCATAAGCAGTGGGTTCATTCCCTCTCATTAATGTGTATTGTTCCATTGTATGAATATAGCATTATTTATTTATATATTAAAGATAGCTAATAGTATTTGCTGATGGTTTGAAAAAGCTGAGAAAGCAAACTAACACAGGAACAGAAAACCAAATGCTGCATGTTCTCACTCGTAAGTGGGAGTTCAACAATGAGAACACATGGACACAGGGAGGGGCATATCACACAATGGGGCCTGTCAGGGGTAGGGGAAAAAGGGGAGGGACAGCATTAGGACTAATACCTAATGCATGAGGGGCTTAAAACCTAGATGATGGGTTGATAGGTGCAGCAAACCACCATGGCTCGTGTATACCTATGTAACAAACCTGCACGTTCTGCACATGTATCCCAGAACTTAAACTGCTGAGAAAGATAGAAATAATTTTTAGCCTGAGTTGTTAGAAGGCTTGGAATTACAATGGAGAAGGCTGTAGGAGGAACAATTTCAGGTGAATGAGGTGGAAAATAGATCTGTTTGGAGCATGCTACAAAGGAGATGCTTACTAGACACCAAGTGGAGAGGCTGAGAAGACAGCTGGATATGCAAATCTGAAGTGAGGAGATAGCTCTGAGCTGAAGATACCCATCTGGGAGTCTTCAGTGTGTATAGATGTATCCAGACCTTGGGTCTGGACAAGATCTATCAGAGGGTGAAGGTAGCTGGAGAATAGAAGAGACTGAGGACTGAGCTCCTAGCAACATTGAAAGCTCAGGGAGGTGGATGAAAATACAAAGGACATAGAGAAGGCGTGGCTAATGAGGTAGGAAAAGAACCAAATGGTGTGTGAAAAGTAAAATAGGAAAGTGTTTTAAGGAATAAACTGCAGCAAAGGTTGCTGACAGGCCAATGACTGGGATTGATGTGACAAGAGCTGTCTCATTGGAGGGCTGGAGAAAATGCCTGATTGAACTCATGTGGAAGTAACTGGACTCCACCCAAAAGCCACGTGCTGTTCTTTTTTGGTAACAAGAATTCTAGTTTTATTTAAAATGTACCCAGTTACATTTTTCAATCTCTCTCTCTTCAACATATGACTATATGACAAGTAATAAGCACAGGTGTGTGGGGCATTCCTAAGAAGCCAACTAATCTAGCCATGAGGCACCTCATGCCCTTCTGCATTAGTCATATTTTTACTGTGATAGTACTATGAAACAACCCAAAAATACATCAATAGCTTACAACCAACATTTTATCTCATGCTTCTGGATTAGCAGTTTGGCTTAACTAATCTGAGCTGAGGTTAATAGGCTTGAATGGGTGAGCCTGCACTCCAGGCTTTGGATCAGATCTGGGCTGCTTCAAAACCAGACTGGAAGAAAAGCATGCTATTCCCATTGGTAGGGCTGGAAGCTCCAAGAGGGCTTATGGAAACGTGCCAAGACTCCTAATACTTCCGCTCAGAACCTGTATGGTCACTTCTACCCATTGGCCAAAGATTTCGCACTCTGAGCCCAAAGTCAGTGAAGAGGGTTATTACTCTCCACCCATTGTGAAGCCATTTTGAGGCAGAGGAGTGGGAATAGGCATAACGAATACACCTTCTTTTGGTCATGCCTTCTATGCACTAAAACCCAATGTGATGGCTGGAGTACCAGCAGCCTTTGTGGACCATGTGACCTTAGAAGCACTAAGCTAAAATGGTAGAATAGAAAGGTGTATCCCATATGTCCGTGGAGTCACCATACCAACCCTAACCAAACTACCTCTGACCTTGTTTTATGAGAAAGAGAAATTATGACTATCTTTTCATTTACTTTTATGTTGTATTTTCTACTATATGCAGTCAAACCTAATATTGATGGACACAAGTGGGTTTAAGTAAGAATGGGAGGAATGTGTACAATACTCGTTTGAGGAATTTTTAAATACAGAAGTACAGAGAAATGGGATAGTCACAGGAAAGGGTAAAGTAGTAAGGGAATGTTGTTTTTCACTCTAAGTTGGAAATATTACACCATATTATATGATAATGAGAAAATCCAGTAAAGAAAAAAGTGCTTAATACAACAGAGTACTTATTGAAGTTTTATCCTTCAATAAGCAAGTAAGAGTAAGCAAGAAGAGAAGGGATCCCGTACTTACCTTGACCTGTGGTACTAAAAGGTGCATTTGTTTTGACTTAAATCAGTGTAATCTGTACTGATTATATAACCTAAACTATGTGAATTCCATGAATATTTTCCAAGAGTTTTTCAGGTAACTTCCACACAGTAAAAAATTTTTTTGTTGTTGTTTTGTTTTCTTTGAGATGGAGCCTCACTCTGTCATCCAGGCTGGAGTGCCGTGGTGCAATCTGGGCTCACTGCTGCCTCAGTGTCCTGAGTAGCTGGGACTATAGGCGTGCATCAACTTTTTTTTTTTTTGTATTTTTGGTAGAGACAAGGTTTCGCCATGCTGGCCAGGCTGGAAAAATGTTTTTATTTGTGGATTTTTGTATAAATAATAATTGAATCTTTCATAGACATTAACTCCATCCCTCCTCACGTTTTTTTTCATTTTCAAGTGAGAAAGAAGGAGGGAGGTTTGTATTGTTTGGGATTATATGAATAATCAAAAGATGGCCCAATAGCCTAAATTAAAATAGCTCATGAAATGGCATAAATCATTTTGCAAATAAAAAATGCAAGACACAGAAAGCTGATAAAGCAAGTAAAGAAAAATCCTATTTTTTCTGAGTCCCCTGTTAAAATGGAATTTTTAAACCCACAGATGTTCAAAGGAGGTAAAAATATATTTTCTTCTTTGATGGAATTGCTACAATTCCAAATATATAAATCCACCCACAGCATTAATTAAAGTTTTAAAAAATGTTCTCCCTCTGGTGTGAGAAGCATAGTATTTTTACCTGAATAAGCCACTTTTTTTCTTCCATATTCTGTCATGTAAGATTCAGTATCCTTTTAAATACATATTTTCCCATAAGGAACAAGTATTGGGAGAAATATCAGAAATTACATTTGAGATCTGTTACCTTTGAGATACCCATTATCATCCCAATGGAGATGTCAGTAGGAAGTTGGATATATGGATCTAGAGTTCTGGTAAAGTTCTGGGCTGGAGATAAAATTTCTGGAGTCTTCAGCCTTTGGTATATTTAAAGCCATGGAGCATATAAGATCATCTAGGGATTTCATGTATGTAAACTACAACAAGGACAGATTCCTAGACTAAGCCCTGGAGCGCATTTTGAGGTTAGGAAAGAGAAAAAAAAAAAAAGGAGCCTGAAAAGGAGCAGCTGGCGGTAAAGGGGGAGAAAACAAAGAGTGGGATCCTAGAGGCCAAGAGAAGTGTTTCTGAGAGGAGGTTTGTGTATTTTGATAACTCAAGTAAAAATGGAGAGAGAGCATTGGTTTGTGCAAAGTGGAGGTCATCTGTGAGCTTCACAAGAGCATTCAGAGTGGAGGCTTGGAGGGAATACTTGTTTGGAGTGAGTTCAAGAGAGAACTGAAGAGAAATAGAGGCAACTGGAATAGATGATTCTCCCTAGAGCTTTTCGGCAAATAGCAAGAGAAAGAAATTGAGTGATGAGGTCAAGGAAGTTTTGTTTGCTTTTTAAACTGGGAGAAATAACAGCATGTTGCTGCATTTATAGGAATGACCCAGAAGAAAGAGGGAAGATGATGCAGGAGAGAGATGGGAAAATTCCTAGAGGGATGTGAGTAAGAGAGGATGGGATCTACTGCACAGGAAGAGAGCCTTGTTTCTGCTGGAAGATGAACAATTCATCCAAAATGACAAAAAATATATAGAATATGTAGACACCTATGCAAGTAAGGAGTTAGATGCAGTGGTAGGAGTTTGTGGGAGCTCTTTGACTTATTCACTTTTTAAAAGTATTCTTATTCACTTTTCTTGGTATCATCAACTAAGTGAAGATAGGGAGAAAATATAGGAGGTTTAAGGGTAGTAAAGAAAGTAAGAAACATCTATCTAAGATAGTAGGAAGGAAAATTAACCTGGAAAATACGATGTGATTGCTTGGCAGCTTTAAAGGTACACTTGAGGTTGAGGTTATTGATCATGGATGCAAAGATCGCCTGGCAGCTGTAAAGGTACACTTGAGGTTATTGATCATGGATGCAAAGATCTCCTGGCAGCTGTAAAGGTACACTTGAGGTTATTGATCATGGATGCAAAGTGAGAGCAATGAGCATGGTTGCATGTTTTACTACAGCCATTTCAGATGTGGATCCAGGTCTGGGAGGCATTTCATCAGTGGTTTTACTGAGCAGTATGACAAACTGAAAAGAGTCAAGAGAGTTGAGGCTGTATGCAAGAGAACCATTAAATGATTGACCACAGAATTTAAGCTTAGCTCATGAGGGAGAGATATGAAGAGGATAATGAATTGAAGGTCTAGGTGGACACTGAAATTACTGAAGCCAAGTACTAAAAGGGATGAGCAGGAAAGCTGGTGGGAGAGTTGTAAAGTGCTTGAAGTCACAGTTTTAGAGGGGATGAAGTTTTGGGGCAAGATCGTGGCTTACCACGAAAGTGAATACCAATGTAGGGAAAAGGACAAGATCACTAAAGAAAAGGTTAGGTAAGGCACCACAAGTCCAAGGAATTGGAAGGATTATCCAAGTGTGTGTTTAAATCACCAAAAATTACAATAGGAGTAACAGACAGAATGACAGTGACTGGAAGTCAACACCTTCATGGACATGACCTGGCAGCCATAGATGGCCACAATGAAGATGAATCCTGGCCGGGCAAAGTGGCTCACACCTGTAATCCCAGTACTTTGGGAGGCTGAGGCAGGTGGATCACCTGAGGTTAGCAGTTCAAGACCAGCCTGGCCAACATGGTGAAACCCCATCTTTACTAAAAATACAAAAATTAGTCAGGCGTGGTGGTAGGCACTGTAATTCCAGCTACTTGGGAGACTGAGGCAGGAGAATCACTTGAACCCAGGAGGCGAATGTTGCAGTGAGCTGAGATCATGCCATTGCATTCTAGCCTGGGCAATAGAGCAAGACTCTGTCTCAAAAAGAAAAAGATGAATTCTGATTGGCCAATCCTATAGTCTAATGTTTACATGCAAAGCTCAGGGTTTTTATGGAGGAAGCAGGAAGAATGGTAAGAATCTGCATGAGAAGCAGGAAGGACACTTCCCCACCTTTGAGGTCCAGCGGTGTGAAGACTGTGTGAGGGAAGGGAGCCACTTTTGGAAGAGGTGCCAGGAAGCAGGGTCCTGAGGCAAAGGCCAGGCTTCAGTTTTAACAGGAACACTCTGTTCATTGTGTTTAGAATGAACTGAAGTCAGGCTACGGGTAGAAGCAAAATGACAAGTTAGGAGGCTATTGCAATAATATAAGCAAAAGATGATGGAGGTTTATCCCAGGAAGATGGCAGTAATGCCGTTAAGAAATGGTCAGATTCTGAGTATTTTTCACATATCATATTATACTGCATCATTGATTTTAAGATGTCCCACTGTTTTATGTGCCACTAAGAAAGAAAACAATGCTACCAGTTAAACAATATTATTTTTTATCAATTTTAAGACACATTGAAATCTCAGATATTAAAATATGAAAATGTACATCTTAGAATTGATGAAATATGGTATATTGGTTAAATATACTACTGTACTGAGGAAGAAACTCTTTTTCCAAGAAACTGAGAATTCCACAAACTGAATTTCAGCATCTTTGAAAGCTTGCTAGAAAAATTCACCAACAGCGGTTTGAGGAAAAGCAAGACTGTTTCTGTTAGCTGACCTCACTTGATACATTTTGCATGTATTTACTAATTGGCTCCTGGCAAGAAATAACTCCTTGTTGTTTGGTATGTCTAATAGCCACAAATCAATTTGCTTATCATTTGCATCTGCATATACTGCTTGTTATTTGCAGTTCATGGTCATGTCTGATCATTATGGGAAGATGGCTAAGAATTATCCATGTTGTGAATTGAACCCTGTCCCTAAGTGCCAAGTTAGAAGTCTTATATTTTTGCACCCATTTTCTCCCATATTGTTGGGAATAAGTGAACGGGTAGCCTGCCCCTCCACACCTGTGGGTATTTATAGTCGGGTGGGACGAGAGACTGAGAAAAGAAATAAGACACAGAGACAAAGTATAGAGAAACAACAGTGGGCCCAGGGGACCGGCGCTCAGCATACCAAGGACCTGCACCGGCGGCACCAGCCTCTGAGTTCCCTTACTTTTTATTGATTATTATTTTCATTATTTCAGCAAAAAGGAATGTAGTAGGAGAGCAGGGTGATAATAAGGAGAAGGTCAGCAAAAAACATGTCAGCAAAAGAATCTATATCATAATTAAGTTCAAGGGAAGGTACTACGCCTGGATGTGCACGTAGGCCAGATTTGTTTCTCTCCACCCAAACATCTCAGCGGAGTAAAGAATAACAAGGCAGCATTACTGCAAACATGTCTCACCTCCCACCACAGGGCAGCTTTTCTCCTATCTCAGAATTGAACAAATGTACAATCAGGTTTTATACCGAGACATTCAGTTCCCAGGGGCAAGCAGGAGACAGTGGCCTTCCTCCATCTCAACTGCAAGAGGCTTTCCTCTTTTACTAATCCACCTCAGCACAGACCCTTTACGGGTGTCTGGCTGGGGGACGGTCAGATCTTTCTCATCCCAAGAGGCCATATTTCAGACTATCACATGGGGAGAAACCTTGGACGATACCCCGCTTTCCAAGGGCAGAGGTCCCTGCGGCTTTCCACAGTGCATTGTGCCCCTGGTTTATTGAGACTAGAGAATGGCAATGACTTTTACCAAGTATACTGCTTGTAAACATTTTGTTAACAAGGCACGTCCTGCACAGCCCTACATCCCTTAAACCTTGATTTTATACAACACATGTTTTTGTGAGCTCCAGGTTGGGTCAAAGTAGTTGGGTCAAAGTGGCTGGGACAAAGCTACAAATTAACAACATCTCAGCAAAGCAATTGTTTAAAGTACAGGTCTTTTTCAAAATGGAGTCTCTTATGTCTTCCCTTTCTATATAGGCACAGTAACAGTCTGATCTCTTTCTTTCCCCTACAAATAAGACCTCTGAGTCGCAAAGAAAACAAGCACTTAGACTGAGAATGTCTCAGCAAGGCAAATTTACTTCTGCAGAAGGGTGCATCTCACATATGGAGCAATGGTGAGAGCACACAGAACAAAGGAAAGCAGGGGTTTTTAGTATCTCTAATGCAGCTTCTGCTTCTGTGTCTTTCCCCTATTGGCTAGGGTTAGACCACACAATCTAAACTAGTCCCAACTGGCTAAACATTTAAACTTTCTTAGATAAGGTCAGCACGTAAGGGAGGTGAGAAAAGAGAGAAGGAGGGTCATTTACAGGGGGCAGGGGGAGTAGGAAGGTAACCTATTCCCTAATAAGGAAAGGAATGTGGAGTGGGGTTGTAGCAAGTTCAGGCATGCCTAGGCATATTCTGACAAATTGGGGCACAGCAAAAGCAAGGGGTATTTGGAATTATAGGATAGAGAATGGGGAAACTGGATAAGCTGTTTGAAAAGGGAACCTAGCTGGATCTAACACATATTATGTCAAACTGGCATATCTTCCTCACTGATTCATAATCCTGGCTTCGCATTTGAAACAAACACATTGGGGTGCTTTTAAAAAACTTATTCTGGGACTCCATCTCTGATCAGGGTCCCTGGAGGTGAGCTCCAGGCTTCAGTGTTTTTGAAAACTTCCCAGGTAATTTAAATATACAAAAATACACAACGAACCTTGAGAACCATTGGTGCTAAAGTAGTTTCCTCATTAATAAATGATGAGCTTTGACGTGTTCAGATCAAGTCGCTCAATGTCATATAGCAGGCATCAGAAATGAATACGGAGTACAGGAAGTTACAATGTGTTAAAAAAAAAACTGTAGAGTATTATCTTAAGTTATATCTATTGTATTTTTGAGTGTACACATGTCAATAGCCACAGATCAATACACCTATAATTTCCCTCTGCATATATTGCTTATTTTATTTTGCTTATTTGCCAGTTAATGGTGTTTTTGTTTTTTTTTTGAGACGGAGTCTCGCTCTGTCGCCCAGGCTGGAGTGCAGTGGCACGATCTCGGCTCACTGCAAGCTCCGCCTCCTGGGTTCACGCCATTCTCCTGCCTCAGCCTCCTGCATAGCTTGGACTACAGGTGCCTGCCACCATGCCCAGCTTTTTTGTATTTTTAGTAGAGACGGGGGTCTCACCATGTTAGCCAGGATGGTCTTGATCTCCTGACCTCATGATCTGCCCGCCTCGGCCTCCCAAAGTGCTGGGATTACAGGCGTGAGCCACCACGCCCGGCCCAGTTAATGGTTTATATCTGACCATTTTATGGAAAGATGGTTCTGAATCATCATGGTGCAAATTTAACCCTATCACTGTTGAATACAGCTTATGTGTGTATGTGTGTGTGTATCTTCATACATACATATGGCATATATACCCATAGATATGATGAAGGGCTATAAAAAATGTTATGAACTTTAAATGCTCAAGATTACAGGAGATTTTTTTTTTTTTTTTTTTTAATTTTGAGATGTTGTCTCACTCTGTTACTCAGGCTGGAGTTTAGTGGAGTCATGATAGCTCACTGCAACCTCAAACTCCCAGGCTCAAGTGATCCTTCTATCTCAGCTTCCCAAGTCAATAGGACTACAGGCATATGCCACCACACCTGGCTAAGTTGTTGTTGATGAGATCCTGCTATGTTGTCCAGGCCAGTCTTGAACTTCTGGTCTTGAGCAATCCTGCTTTGGACTCCCATGGTGCTGAGATTACAGGTATGAGCCACCTCATCCAGCCTGCAGGACATTTTAATTTTCTTCTCTTTTGTCTTCATTTTCTAGATGTAAATGCATTTTCTTTGTAATAAAAATTTATTCTGAAACAGCAAAACCTATTCATTAGAGAAAATTTGGAAAAAAAAATATGAATAAGAAAATGGTTCATAGTTCTATCACTCAGAGATGACTACTTTGTGCATTTTGGTTCATTCTTTCCAATTATTTTCTGTGTCTGAGAATGTGTATACAGAATTATACTTACATGGATTTTTAAAAACTTTTGCCTATTTTTCTCTTAAATTTTTTACCATATCATTAAACATTTTTACAAAATATACATTCTAAATGAACTACATAGGATTATATTGTGTGAATGTATCATTATTTATTCAAACTATTAAACTAAATATAAGTTTTATAAATATGTAGAAATATAGCATCCAATGTTGTTAAGAGTGCAGTGAAACAGTCATTTTATTCTTTTCTGTTGGTGCAAAAGTTCTAAAACCTCTAAAAAAAAAAAAGGCAGGCAAACAGTGCCTATCAAAAGCCTTAAAAATGTGTACGTCTGGCCCAAGAAGTCCAATTCTAGGAATTCATACAAATGCATACCATTTGCATGGGAAGAATATTTACATTTAGGAAAAGTGATATGTTCATATTTAGGCAAAATATTGGAAACAATTTAAAAGCTAAATAACAAACCCTCCACCTCCCTGCCCCACCTTCACTCCTGGTATTTAGAAATTATTCTCTTGAAGTTCCCCTGCCTCCTGTTTCTTTACCATTATTAGTATATGTGCTAGAGTTGTTGGCAGGGCTTATTTTAAGACTCAAACCTTTCAAAAGACTGTCAGCTGGTAGATTTCTGAATTTAGAATATGGGTAAATGACAACTTTTTTCCTGGGTTTAGGCACTAGCTATGATTCTTGGACAATGGAGCAACCTCCATGGACATTTTATTTATTTATTTATTTACTTACTTACTTACGAGACGGAGTTTCGCTCTTGTTGCCCAGGCTGGAGTGCAATGGCACGATCTTGGCTCACCACAACCTCCGCCTCCCAGGTTCAAGCAATTCTCCTGCCTCAGCCTCCCAAGTAGCTGGGATTACAGGCATGTGCCACCACACCCAGCTAATTTTGTATGTTTTAGTAGAGATGGAGTTTCTCCATGTTGGTCAGGCTGGTCTTGAACTCCCGACCTCAGGTGATCTGCCCACCTCGGCCTCCCAAAGTGCTAGGATTACAGGCGTGACCACCGTACCTGGCCTGCTTTTTCATCTTTGGTGGTTTCCAATGCCTTTAAAATGAAAGACCAAAATCCTTAATACGACCTCTCACACCCTCCTGGCACCTCCAGACACTTCTTAGGGAAGCCTCATATGTTTCATGCCCTCCTCCCTTGGGGACTTTATTCCCCATGTGACTGTAAAGTCCCCAACCCTTCTTCAATTGCTTAACCCCAGCAATCCTTTAGACTCTTTCTGGCCTACACAGCGAGGTCATTACATACTTTCTTGTAGCGTCCAGGCAGAGACAAACCGTAGTGTGATGATCAGAGCTGGCAGGGAATGTGGTTCCTTCCAGAAACTGAAAATCACCCAGTATCACTAAAACAAAGTAATTGAAAAGTGGTCCTGGGTGATCTTACAGAGTGGGTTTTAAGTACTGCTGCAACATGGTCAGGTATATATTAAAAACAAGAAAAAAGAAAAAAACTGTAACTAACTTCCAGGAAGCAGAGAATGGAAAGAAGAAAAAGCAGTGCAAGAAGATTGACGCAGAAGTGAAAATGTCTTGGTCTAGGCCAGTGGTGGTAAAGGTGAAAAATGAACAATTTCAGTAGATATTTAGTGGCTTCTAGTTAAAGATGACAGGTCCAATGCATCCTGCCCAGCTAACATGTCTCCCGTTGCCAAATAAGGATGAAAGAAATTTGCCATGAAATTGATGGTGTTTAAAGTGCATTAAAGATGGGAAGTGAGAGGCCCAACAAAGTAGAGAGGTCATTGAAATTCTGGAAGACAGAAAGTGAGCATGGTATGTTGTATCCTTTTACCTTATTGCCATGTCTTCCCAAGTGAAGGCAACAAAAGGGGGCCCTGCAGTTAGTTGTACATGCTTTTAAGAAATATTGAAGTAACTCAGTATGACCCAAATGAATTACAAATTGCTAAATTATCAGATGATGTCTTTATACCACTCACACACCAGCTCTCTTCTGAGGAGGTTCTGAGGAGGCGGTGGTCCCAAGACCTTTGTACATACAACCTATGTTCTTTCTCTTTGCCTGGAATGTGTCCCTGCCACCAACTCTTTAACAACCTAACTCAAATTCATCACTCATGCCTCAGCTGAAACATCACTTCTTCAGTAAATCCTTCTCTCTCTCCCCTTCCTGAATTGTTACCCTATTAAAACCCCTAATCACAAGCTTCACTTTTCCTTCAGAGACCCAGCACAATTTGTAATTACATATTTTCTTGTGTATTTGTTCATGTCTTACTTAGAATACAAATTGCATGAAAATACAGAATATGTCTATTTTTTACTGCTGTATCCCTTACGTCTTGGAACACTCAATAAATATTGAATGAATGAAATGTATAAATCAAGAACTACCAGGCCATGGTGCCATTTGTAGGAGTTAGGCTAAGCAAAACAAAGGACTTTAAATGTCGTCTGTGTAGAATTTTCTTTTGGGAGAAAGAAGGGTTGTTTCTCATTTTCCAACAGAGCTGCATCAAATGCTGCAGTCAGCTGGACCTATGTTGTTGTTCTTCTGACTAGGAAAAGGTCACCCTCTTCCCCATTAAAAGGCCAAATGGGTTTTAAAAAAAAAAAAAATGCCATGAGCAATAAATACAGTCCAGCTAGGCCTTAAGCCAGAGAAGATCAAGGGGGCAATAGTTTGGGAGATTAGCGAGCTACCTGCCTTAGCAAGCAGAAATGTGTGTTTTTATCTTGAGTGTCCTCTGCTTGTATCTCTTGAAAACTTCAACAAGGAGAGCTGTGAAGCAGGTGGCTCTGAGATTTCTGGATGGAAATCCTGGCTGTTTCACCATATAAATACAGTTAATAGCTCGGATAATTTGGCAAAGTGAGGTGAGTTAATGATAAGAGGTTAAAAGATGAGACCCTAACCTAGGTTACCACAGTGCATTCATTTCCAAGGCTAGCATGCTTACACAGCAAGAACACCATCCTATCTGGTTATCAGCACCTGTGAAAAGTGAGATTCATCAGTAAGGTCAGCAAAGGTACTTGGGGGAAAAAACAAGACTTTTTGTTGGCCCCATGCACTGGTGGAGGAAAACATTTTTGCTACCCCAGATTTTCCATCAACTTATTCTTAACCATGGATGGATGACCAGCATAAGGAGGGCTACGAATCTGCTGTAGGTTATCTATAATTTTTTTTGAGATAGATAGGTCTCTATCATATAGGCTGGAGTACAGTGGTGCAATCATAGCTCACTGCAGCCTCAAAACTCCTGGGCTCAAGTGATCTCCCAGGTAGCTCAGACACAGGTGCACACCATCATGCCTGGATAATTAAAAAAAAAGAATTGTAGAGATGGGGTCTCACTATGCTGCTCAGGTTGGTCTTGAATTCCTGGCGTCAAGTGATCTCCCTGCCCTGGTCTCCCAAAGTGTTGGGATTACAGACAGGTATGAGCCATTGTGTCTGACTAGTTATCTATTAATATGGAATTTTTCTACTCTCATGACAGCTGAGGCTGTGTCCTGGAAAAATCCAAAACAAGATAGAACTGGGATTCCAGAGGCAAAGAGATATTGTATTATTCAGGGTTCTCCAAAGAAACAGAACCAATAGGGGGTGTGTGTGCATGTGCATGTGTGTGTGTGGAGAGAGATTAGGAAGGCTAAGAAGTCCCCCAATCTGCCATCTGCAAACTGGGGACCCAGAAAAGCCCGTGGAGTGATCCAGCCCTGTGAGGCAGGGAAGCTGATGGTGTGAATCCCAGTTTGAGGGCAGAAGAAGATGAGATGAGATGAGATGTCCCAGCTCAAGTAGTGAAGCAGAAAATAAAGGGGACACATCCTCCTTCCTCCACCTTATGCTCTATGGGGGCCCTCTATGGATTGGACAATGCCCACCCACACTGGGAATCATCCAGTGCCCAGGGCCATCTGCTTTACTGAGTCTACCAATCAGTGTGAATCTCATCTGGAAACACCCTCATAGACACACCCGGAAACCATGCTTAGTCTAGACACAAAAAATTAATCATCACGGTATGAATAGGAGGGGAAAGGTATGCAAAGGGAGGGATGGAGAAGAAATAATAAATGGTCAGAAAGGTGAAAGAGAAGCTGTAATTGGAGCCTTGAGCCCAGCCACTGTCCCAGACCAATGCCAGGGGCTAGTCAGTGCCGTGTGTAAGTGCACCCTATCTGAGGAACATGAGCTGCCACTTCAGTTCCCCTTCCAAATCTCATACGAGCAGCTCTTGTGGCCAACCTTCACCTGGAACCATAGAGGGAAGAGAATTCTGAGAGATGTATTAATAGCTCCACCTTTGCTAACTTGGACAGCTCAAAACCTCCACAATTTTCCCAAAATGATTGACAGTTACATCCCTTCAATCCTCCATCTCATCACTTTCTGCTTTGTCCAAAAGATAAATTGACTTATTAGCTACTTGTTTTCTATCAGAATGAAATACATTCCAATTCTCTTTTCAAAATTTGTTTAATGAGTACCTTCTATCAGTACACTGTTTTTGCAGTTTTGTTTGAATCGGGTCATGGAGTAGCACAGTGTCGCGATGGCTTTCCCCTGTCAAGCACAGACCCTTCTGTAATGCACATTTTTATTTTCTTGGGTGGGTCTTGGCTAAGCAAGTTCATATCTCAGTTCAATTCCACTTCTAAATTCTGACTGTAGGCACAATTCTAGGAATCCTTATTGCTGTCTTTCCATTATCACTTTGTAATTTTCTAATTTTCAGAAAACTTCATTTCAAATCATCTGCACACAGCAAACTCATCAACTCTCTCTTTGGGAGAGCTCAAATTGCATGCTACCCATAGTCTATACACACTTTCTGTAATTAAGAAATTGTTAAAAGTGAATAATAGATAATTGAATATAGACAATTTTCCCCTTAAGATAGACACTGTTTTACAGTGTGATATAATTGCGGGAGAGGGCAGAATTGGGACACTTCATATTTAATTATTTTTCCTAAGTGGTTTAAAACTTAAAAAATAAGATTTTCCTGGTCTATTTATTTCATTTCAGGAGAATATATTTCAATAAGTAAAAAGCAGCTTAGTAACAAGTCAATTGTTTACATTCTGCCAGATCAACACATTGTGAAGATTCTTTTGTGTTTATCCATTATTAGGGTACGTAAGTGTCAGATATTCCAAATTATACTTCTAAAATTACACAGCACCTGTGCCACATTTGTTTTCTTCCAATATTTTTTAGCATGACTCAAAATCATGTGCTCTGGTTAACACTTTTCTACTTAATGTCATTGAAGATTTCATTGGAAATAGTTTCCTAGAGCCCACAGATGTTTTATTCCTGGCCTTTGACTTCCAGGATTAAATTTCAGACACTAAGCTTTCTTTGTAGAAACAGTAATGTGTTATCAAACAAAACACTCATAACAAGTAGATTAAATATTTCTGAAATAGGAAACAATGATTTGAAGGAAGAAGAGCTTAGTGCAATTAAATTGCAAACCTTATGTATGCTTCTAGACCATGTACCAGGCCCTTTTCCCATCTTACTGAACTACTCACAGTCTACAGGCTCTCAGAAGTTAATAAATATTCATCAATAATTTATGACATCGGGCCCACTCTACTCAGCATCTAATACCCTTGGATGTTTACTGAGCAGCCAACATCAGTGAAATTTTCATCCCATGGCTCAAATGGGTTCCCTGCCTCCAGGATCTCCTCGCTGCAACCTGCCCTGTGTCTCAATATTAAATTAATCTTTCTGAAGCCCTACTTTTATATCACTCCCTTGTTTAAAAGTATGTAAGGTATGCTCTTTGCCAGCTGGGCCAAGTCCAAATCCCTTAATGTCACTGAGAAGACCTTTCATATCCTGGCCCCGTCTCCTGCCAACCACCTCCCCACCAGCTTCTCCCCCGGCTCTACTGCCAGCCAAACCCTAAGGCAGCTAGGTCTTCAAATGGGTCAGGCATGCTCTGTCTTCCAGGCCTTTGCTCCAGCTATTTGTTGCTTTTAACAGCCCCTCACTCAATTCCATGCCCTGATTTCCTTTGCCTAGGTATTTTCTGTTAATCCTTCAAATGCAGCATTTGTATTCCTTACTCCTTAGGAAGACATCCAGGGATCTAGTTGACTGGTTGGGCCCTCTCTGCTCTGTGCCTCCCTAGCACCTTGCACTTCCCTCTCTGTGGTGGCTGGATATGACTGCTAAAAGATACTGGGTCCTAATCTCTGGAACCTGTTGATTTTATACAGAAAAAGAGTCTTTGCAGATGTGATTAAGGATCTTGAAGTAGGAAGATTATTCTGGATCATCTATGTGGACCCTAAATGCAATCACGTGTCTGAATAAGAGGGAGGCAGAAGGAAATTTTACACTGAAGAGGGAAAGGCACGCCTAGAAGAAGAGGTGGTGTGAAAACGGAGGCAGGGATTTGTCACAAGCCAAGGGATGCCAGCAGCCACCCAGGGGCTGAAAGAGGCCAGAGACAGACTCCCCTGAAGCCTCCAGAGGAAATACAGAGCCATAGGACATCCTAATTTCCACCCCGTGATACTGATTTCAGACTTCTGCCCTCTGGGACTTTCAAAGAACAAATTTCTTTTAAGACACCAAATTTGTGGTAATCTGTTGCAACAGCCTCAGGAAACAAATATACTATCACATCTGTATCAGTCAGGAGCCCATCAGGCAGCAGATGGCACAGGTGAGGGGAGGTAGAAGTGCTCCATGGCTTATGACACCAAGTTGCCATCACTGCTTCTGAGGGAGCAAGAAAAGAGAGCAGTTACCAGAACTCAAAGATGGGCTGTGTGGAGAGGGCTCCCCAGTAGGAGCCATGGCCTTCAATGGAAGGACACGGCCAACTCAAAGTGACCAGGAGAAGGACAGCTGGGGAACAATTGTCCCAGCCTCATCCTCCCTCCACTCTCGAACCTCCCAAGAAGCCACGGGCAAGGGAGTCTTTTCCTGCATTTCACAAAAGTCAGAGCACACAGCAAGGTGGAAGGCGCTGGTGGAGAGTGGATCATTAGGGGAAAACAGATGACGTCCTGCACAACATGGATTGTTCTATTCTATTGCAATTGCTCATTTCATCATCTGATTCTTCCACTCTGCTTTAAACACCATGAGTATGACTACCCCATCTGCCCTCTGTATTATGAATGCCAGTGCCTGGCACAGTGGCACGGTGTCAGGCACAGACTGGGAACTTTATAAATACTTATTTAACAAAACTAATCAATAACACACAGACAAGAGACTCTCCACATAGGATCTAGTCTTCCATTTCTGGTCTCATTTTCCATGATTTCCCTTCATGAAACTTTTGCTGGAACCCAGAATGGACCACAAAATAAAACCCAACAAGCTTCACTTTTTCCCCATCTCCGTACCTCTCCTTGGGCCATTTCCTCTTCCTAAGCCACCATCACCACATCTACGGAATTTCGATTACACTTTGAAGATCATCTTATATGCTACTTCCTCCATTATGTCTGTCTGGACCACCTAGTCAAAAATGATCTCTTCCTTCTTGGCACTCTTTCAGGTCTTATTTGTATTTCCCTTGAACAAGTAACATTTTATTGTTGTGTCTTGTTGATATGCCTGCAGTGTCATAAGTCAACTTGAAGATCACAGTTCCCTGCAGAGCAGCCTCTCAGTCTCATGTTATGAATCCTAAACAGGATTTAGCCAATGACTTTCAGAAGTCAGTTCACAATCAACATTGTTGAATAAATAAATTAACTGGAACCTTTCTGGTAATTAGCATTTCATGGTCACTTATTTATCCCAGTCTCTCCTTGGCTTTGCTACTGAAAGCAAAAAGAATCTTTGAATGTCAATTCTATTTCTTTCAATAACAGTGGTTTTATTATTTAATAAAAGCGATGCAAGAAAAGGCTTGCAAACAAAGTTTAGGTTCTTGCTCTTAATAGTTAATAATCCATAACAGTATTGTGTGTTTTATTGTGAAGCATCATTACAGCAGATTTGCCCCAGGGGTGGTGGGTGGTAGAAGTAGGGGCAGTAACAGATCTTTAGGACCACTCTGGCATCTCTGGGGTTTGCTTGAGGTATGAATTTACCAGTTTTTGGCATTCCTCAGAGCAATTTAAAACCACATTTTAGTGTAACTGTATATAAAAAAAGAAAACAGCTATTGGGATATTCAAAGGAGTGGCATATACACTAACTGAGTTCTATGACATTTTAATAAAAGTTATATTAAAGGAACAAATACCAGACTCAAGAAGGTTAAAATGACATATTCTGCCACAAAGTGAATATACCTCTTAATATCAGAGTAAACATTTAAAACAATCCTTACCCATGATTACCAGGAATATTTAGCAATACTTATGATAGTTTATGAAATTTACTGTCTCATTTTACTATAGTATCACCTTAAAAGAGAATATAGAGCTGACTATATCTCCTGAAGGACTATAAAGAATGGTATGAATACTTAACATATTGATTTTATTGCTGTCAAAAAATAAAGGCATACTTTCACACATAAAAGCTATGTAGTTCAGTAACTCTATTTTTGCAAATGACTGCAGCACCATAATGACATCCCAGAAAAACTCATATTTGAATGTCTTTCGAAATGTTGAAGCTCTTTAATATTTGAATTGCTTATAAATGTTTATCTGTGTTGTGTTTTCCTTCTGAAACCTACCAAGCTTACTTTGTTGCAATGCATAAGTCAATATTTGCATATGGATGTGGGTAAACACAGCTTTGCAGTAGATTCATTTAGACGCAATGGGCAGAATAAAATATATATTTTCTAAAGAAACCGATTCTCTTGGCTATTCACTTAGGGCTCAAAAGCAAATGAATGTTCAATGTTTCACAGCTATTTAAGCCAGTGGGGACTTAACAGCTAAGTTTCTAAAGAAGAAATAAACTGATTTTAAAAGGAAGGACCTTGTAAACTTACTCAGAACTGAAGTGGCCCATTCTTTGAGCATGGAGGCACTATTCACTCTACTTTGCAAGGCCTTGTACGGGCCCTATTACTGAATTAATTGGGACTTTTATACCCAGCAGCCAAAGCATCTTCTGGGTCCTAAGATAACCTAGATAAGACCAAGTTGATGCTGGCTACTACTAAGTTAACTCATCAGATTAATTGCAAGGAGAGTAAAATGGAACACCCCAAACTTATGTAGATGTATATAGATTATAGAAGCCTCTCCCCCTAATCTTCATTTGTTGTGATACAAATGGGCCCTCCATACATTGCAAACTAGCCTGGATTTCTGAAATGAAGGCTTCCATCTTCCTTTTGAAGATTATAAATCACTTAACATTTAAATACGAGTACATAATCTCAGCTGCTATGCCCAAGAATAATACACGGGACTAGCAGAGATGTCCTAAAACAATTAACTGTTAAAGGGAATGAGCCAAAGGAACACCTATGTCTGAGTCTCAAGCTCTGGCATCTTAAGATAATGGCAAACCCCTAGCAGCAAAGGAGAGAAGGAGATTTCCAAGGTTTCCTGCTTGACCCATAATTTCTTCCATTTTGTGTTACTATTAGACTTCAGGATATGTAAACAGGCACCAGGAATAAATGAATATGTACAGCAAGAGAGATACATATAGATAAGTAGTAAATCTAAGTATACTTTCTTTAAAAAGGCAAAAAAGTGAATTCCACACTTAGGAACTCCCCAGCCTACTAGTGGAAGCAACACATGAGCATTAGGAGTTACCAGTTTTTGTTCAGTGGAGAGAAGCAATTCCAGATGAGTGATCAGGCAATGCTTCACAGAGAAGATAATGGAGGTAGGCCTGGGAACATGAATAGTATTTGGGCTTATAGACATAAGGAGAGACTGCATTGCTGAGAGTGTAAATGACATCATAATAAGGCGATGAAGATGATGATAGTGTAGTTATTATGTATCGGTTAACAAACTGAGGTGTGCAATACATATTTTCTTTATTTTTCGTAAACCAACTTATGACCACAAACTTCTTTGCTAGGCTAATGGGAAATAGGTCTTTAATCACTCTTAAGCCTTCAATCCTTTCACCCTAGGGTTATGCCAAAGTTCTAAGGCCTGAAAACTTCCAAGGTATCATCAAGGGTACCTCTTTAGTAGTAGGTCCCCTACCCCTACTGATACTTGCTTGCACACTGACTGTCTTTCCCCACATGGTCTCTTGAGGCTCTCATTTTGCTATTTCCTTCTAGGCTTTTGATACAGTCTATGGAGTGGCTAGAATTAGCCTGAATCCATTCCTTCAGGTCCCACCATTCCTCCAGTCATTACATGATGGGAAACAGTAGGTTTCTACTGCCTGTAAGAACCAGACTCTCTGCTACCTGAGACCCTCTCTTTGTCTGCAGGCATTCCCTCCTGTTCTCCTTTCCCTCAGAGGCCTTCCTGAGCTCTTCAAACACTCTTCCCCTCAAAAGTCACAGTCTTTGTGAAACAAAATCCAGAAAGACTTGACTGAAATCTACCTCCATCTCCTCCCCCGGATCCTGATAGGAGGAAGAAGAATATAAAGGAAAACATGATACAACTTAATATCTCAATAAAGTGTCTACTATCTTACCTGGTATTTACTAAGCATTTGCCCACTCTCTGCCCTGCATGTTCTTTCAATCAATCTTTTTGGCACATATCAGGAAGATACTCATCTCCACTTTACAAACGAATGGTGTTAAGTAACTTGCCCAAGGCCTCACAGCAGGTAAATGACAGAACTAGGAGGAACCTGGCTTCAGAGCTTGCACCTGATGCCACTGCACCCACTGCCTCCCCTGGATATGGACAAAGACGAAAAAGGGAGTAATCTCAAGAGGTAAAAAACACACCAGAAAAGTAAAAAATATTGGATAATTGAAGGTAAACTGCAAACAATAATGCTAAGGACAAGATTGAGGGTAAATTGTGAAAATCTTAATTAAACAGCCTTTGTTTGCAGGTGACAAGATTTTCTATGAAGAAGATCTGAAAGAATTGACCAAAAATACTTATGAAACTAATAAATAATTTTAGCAAGTTTGTAGGATATAAAGTTAATATTCAGAAGTCAACAAGTTTTATATGTACCACCAATGAACAAATGGAACTTGAAATAAAAAACACTATCATTTACATTGGTACCCCCAAAAATAAAGTACTTAGGTACAAATTTAAGAAAACATGTACAAGATCTATATAAGGAAAACTATGCACTCTGATGAAGAAATCCAAGAACTAAATACATCAGAAGGTATTTCATGTTTAAGAATAGAAAGACTCAGCCAGTGCGGTGGCTCAAACCTATAATCCCAGCACTTTGGGAGGCTGAGGTGGGTGGATCACTTGAGATCAGGCGTTCAAGACCAGCCTGGCCAACATGGTGAAACCCCATCTCTACTAAAAACACAAAAAATTACCCAGGTGCAGTGGCTTGTGCCTGTAATCCTAGCTACTTGGGAGGCTGAGGCAGGAGAATCACTTGAACCCAGGAGGCAGAGATTGCAGTGAGCCAAGATTGTGCCACTGCACTCTAGCCTAGGCAACAGAGCAAGACCCTGTCTCAAAAAAAAAAGAATAGAAAGACTCGATATTTACCAAGATGATCTATAAACTTAATGCAATCCCAATCAAAATTTTAGCAGCTATTTTGTGGATATCAACAAACTGATTCTAAAGTTTATACAAAGAGACAAAAGACCCAGATGATCAACACAATATTGAAGAAGAAGAACAAAGTTGAATAATTGACACTACTGGACGTCAAAGCTTATTATAAAGCTACATAAATCAAGACAGGGTGATATTGGCAAAAGGATAGACAAGTTGATCAATGAAACAGAATAGCCCAGAAATGAACCTACATAAATATAGTCAACTGATCTTTGACAAAGGATCAAAGGGAATGCAATAGAGCAAAGATAGTCTTTTCAACAAACGGTGCTATAACAAATGGACTTCTACATACCAAAAATGAACCTAGACACTGACCTTACATTCTTAACAAAAATTAACTCAAGATGTATTATAGACTTAAATGTTAGATGCAAAATTTTAAACTCCTAGGAGATAATCTAGATGACCATGAGTATGGCAATGACTTTTCAGATACAACAGCAAAGGCATGATCTGTGAAAGAAATAATTGATAAGCTGGACTTCATTAAAATTTAAAATTTCTGCTCTATGAAAGATGTCGTCAAGAGAATGAGAAGACAAGCCAGACTGAGAGAAAATCTTTGCATGAGACCCACCTAATAATGGACTGTTGTCCAAAATATACAAAGAACTATTAAAACTCAACAATAAGAAAATGAACCCAATTTTCAAAATGAGCAAAAGACCTGGACACCTCACAAAAAAAGGTATACAGATCATGAATAAGCATATGAAAAGATGCCTCACATCATTTATCATTAAAGAAATTGCAAATTAAAGCAACAATGAGATACCACTACACACTTATTAGAATGGCCAAAATCCAGAGCACTGACGGTACCAGAAATGCTGGAGAGGATGTGGAGCAACAGGACCTCCCATTTATTGCTGGTGGGAATGTAAAATGGTACGGCCACTTTGGAAGATAGCTTTGGTATTTTCTTACAAAATTAAACATACAGTAGTTGCCCCTTACCCATGAAGGATACATTCCAAGACCCCTAGTAGATGCCTGAAACCTCAGATAGTAGCAAACCCTATATATACTATGTTTTTCCCATATATGCATACCTATGATAAAGTTTATAAATTAGACACATAAGAGATTAAAATTAAGAACTAATAAAAGTGAGCAATTGTAGCATTAAACTATAATAAAAGTTGTATGAATGTGGTCTGTCTCTCTGTCAATATCATATTGTACTACTGTACTCACCTATTTTCAGACTATGGCTGAACTTGGGTAACTGAAATCATGAGAAGCAAAACTGCAGATAAGGGGAGACTACTGTAGTTTTACCAGTGTGATTCTGCACTTATGCTCTATTGTATCCACCCAAGTGAGTTGAAAACATGTCCACACGAAAACTTGCACAAAAATATCTCTATCAGCTTTATTTATAATTGCCAAAACTTGGAAGCAACAAAGACGTCCTTCAGTAAATGAATAGAAAAAGGGATATTCTATCATCTGGTGCACGCTGACAATAGATTATTATTCAGCACCTGAATAACAGATTATTATTCAGCACTAAAAAGCAATAAGCTAACAAGCCATGAAAAGATATGGCGGAAACTAAAATGCCTATTACTGAAAGAAGACAATCTGAAAGGCTGCATATTACATGATTCAAACTATATCACATTCTGGAAAAGCCAAAACTATGGAGACAGTAAAAAGATCGGTGGTTTCCAGAGGCTAGTGGGGAGGAAGGGATGACTAGACAGCACAGAGCATTTTTAGGACAGTGAAACTATTCTGTATGATAATATTATGGTTATTATACATTTTTCAAAACCCATAAAATGAACTGCAACGTCAACTAAGAACTTGAGTGATAATGATGTGTCAATGCATGTTCATCAGGTATAACAGATGTAGCAATCTGACGCGAGGTGTTGATAGTGTGGGAGACTGCATGGGAGGGGGCAGAGGGTACATGGGAACTCTGTACTTTCTGCTCAGTTTTGCTGTGAATCTAAAACTGTTCTAAAAGATAAAGAAAAAGTCCTAGGAGGCCTAGTCATAGTTACTACTTTATTTGTAATCAGTAGTGATCCACTGGAGAATTCTACAAACACAGAAGTTATAGAGTTCTGCTTCCAAAGGTTAATCTGGGGGTGATGCATGGTAAGGATGGGAAGAGACAGGGAGAAGGAAACAGACTCCCCATGTGACTGTACACTAGCTGGCCTATGTAGAAGATTGCAAGGGGCTCAATCAGGCCATAGCCCTGGAATGAAGGGATGGGAAGAGAGATTAATGACATTACGGTGATGGGACCCACACGCCTTGGCATCTGGTTAGATGCCACCATTCAAACATGAGAATGAGAGGAAAAGTAAAAGGGAACAAAAAGTCCTAGGGAATGTGAAGAATGATGTCGTCAATAAAAGAAGTATAGGACACAGAAGGAAATTAAAGAAGGATCTAGCATAGTTCTGTAATTTAGTTAATGCACATTCCACAACGGACCTCTAGAGTATAATTCTAGACCGAAATGTCTAAATCACATTCCCACGGTACACAAATGAGGGGTTTTGCAGATGTTTTGTATGACTGCCTAACAAGCAACCAATCTTTCCACTTACTCTGTAGCTGGGACCCCTGGAAACAGCGAGTGATGCTTTACAGAAACCAGTTCCTCTGCCTTGGAGGGAGAAAATTGGTTAAATCAATCATACATAGCTAACGTAAGAAGCTGCACTCAGGGAGAAAGTTGTGCTGTCAGGGAGAGGGAGTTGGATTTTAAATCAAAGGACCTGAGTTTCAAGCGCCATTTCTGCCACTTAATGAACTTGAACCTGGAATAAGTTATTCTCCTCTCTTATCTTCAGTTTCTTCTTATTTAAAATGTGAATACTAATGTGTATCTCATATGATTGTAATGAGAATAAATGGAGTACTCTTTGTGAAGGGGTTTTGTAAAGAGCCATGCAAAAGTGAAGGATTTAAAGTTATTTCTACTCAGCAGGGTGAAAATCCCATAATTGATTGCAGTTTCTGGATGGAAAAGGATTCACTAAAAGGAGGGAAATAAGTTTTATGTTCACCAAAGCAATTTCAAGTTACTGAATTCATTATGCATACACAGCCATCCCTCGGGATTGCCCGGGATTGGTTGCAGGATCCCAGTGTATACCAAAATCCACACTTTACTCAAGTTCTGCAGTCAGTCCTGAGGAATCTGGGTATAGGAAAAGTCAGCCCTCTGTATACAGGGGTTTTGGATTCTGCAAATACAGTATTTTTCATCTGGGTTTGTCTGAAAAAAATCCACGTGTTAGGTAGACAGGCCCAGTTCAAAACCACATTGTTCAAGGGTCAACTGTATATGCAGCATTGTAAGATGCCCTCTTCTGGCACAAAATAATAAAGGGTACCATTCCTGATCAAACAGTCAAAATACTTGGGTCAGAGATGGCCCTGCTATGCATATCCATCTTAGGAACTCAGAAGTATCTGCGACAAGCCCAGGGACATTCATTTACAGGAGAGTCCCTCATTCTTCTAGAAGAAACTATTAAAACATTTTGGGATTTGTGGCCCAAATTCCAAATTAGCATCTAGAAGCAAATACTGAAGATGGCTGCAATCACAATTCCTTGGAAGCTCCCATGGCTCTAAATTTCTAATCCAAGAGTGTTATAAACAAGCATGAGATACCTCCTGAAAAACATGTTCTTGGCTAACAAGGCCATTTCCTGGTCTTTGAAAGAGTAATAACAGGGTGGCATGTAGCCATGCAGACCAGATAAAAAATGTCCCCCTGAATTAGGGCCTCCCCACCATAGATGTGAAGTCCTACCCTCTGCCCTGAGCTGGTTTCCCTGGTACCTCCATGATCTGTCACATTGGTCCTCCTGCCCCCACTTAGTCCTGTTGGATTACCTACAGATTTAGACATCAGTGCCATTACTCAAAACTAACTGATTCAGCTAACACTGATGCATAATAAACCACCTCCAAACTTAATAGTTGACAAAAACCACCATTTATTACTTCTCACAAGTCTGTGGATTGGGGAGCAGTTCTGCTCATGGAGGCTGGGCTTAGATGATCTTATCGGGGCCATGCATGCATTGGGATTCAGTTGGTATGTTCCTGGCCACTGGCTGCTCTATGATAGCCTTGAGTGGGACAACTTGGCTCTACATACATGCCTTACACCCTTGTAGCAGGCTAGCCTAGGTAGGGCAGGGTCCAAGAAAGAAAGAGGAAACATGAGAGCATTATTTCAAGCCTCGGCTTGCACCAAAACCACAGTGTCAGATACCAACTATTACGTACTACTCTCTGGATGTGAGTCCTAACTTACTCCCCTCTCCAGCATTTTATTATTTTATTATTTATCAATATATGATCAACTTATTTGCTATTACAAAATATTCCTCTAGAGCAGGGATCAAATCTTGCCTACTGCATGCATTTTTATAGCTTGTGAGCTAAGAATTGTTTTTACATTTTTAATGTTCGGGGGGGAAAATATGATTTTGTGATGAAAGAAAATTGTATGAAATTCTAACTTCAAGGTCCATAAATAAGTCTTACTGGAATACAGCCACATTCATTCATTTATATGTTGTGTATGGCTGCCTTCTCACTACAACAGCAAAGTTAAATCATTGCAGTTAGAGAGCACATGGACCCCAAAGCCTAATATATTTACTACCTGGCCCTTTACAGGAAATGTTTGCCAACCCCAGTTCTACAGTGTGACTTCCAAAGGCTGAACAGTGATGTGATTTTTATTTTGTGTCAGTACTGTCAAGATCTAAGCTACAAATGTTGAATATGAAGGTCGTGCTCAATTTTTACTATTATAGATAACAACTTTCAAAAGGAAATATCATGTGCACTTCTGAATTATTCATTAGTTCAATTCTTAGAAACGGAATTGTTGAGGCAAAAGATAAGCACATTTTAAGGCTCTGATACATATTACCACTTTGACATACCTTTAAGATAGATATAAAATCATTTAAAATATAATTTTATACCCACCATTTAAGAGTTATTTTCATTAGGAATGGATATGGGATTTGCTCAAAGAACATTTTGATCTTTAACTGAGATAATCATTTGATTTTTCCTTTTGCTTAATGACACAATCAGTTTTCTGAAAAAAAAAAAGTTTTTACTTTCTTATTTAATCACCTTTGAATGCAAAAAAAGGATGTATTGAAATATTTTATTTAACACAAAATTATGTGAATAACTTCTCCATAGGTTATCACTACCCACCAGGGCTCCACTTCTACATTTCTGAGATGGAGAGCTGATTCTTAGACACTTTGCCTCCAGTTTCTCCTGGCTTCCCATGAAATGTACAGCAAGGCCACATCAGGCCTCACTCACTGATATGGTTAGACTGTGTCCCCACCCAAATCTCACCTTGAATTGTAATAATCTCCACATGTCAAGGGCAGGACCAGGTGGAGATAATTGAATCATGGGGTCAGTTTACCCTATACTGTTCTCATGGTAGTGAGTACATCTCATGAGATCTGAAGGTTTCATAAATGGGAGTTCCCCTGCCCAAGCCCTCTTGCCTGCAGCCATGTAAGACATGACTTTGCTCCTCGTTCACCTTTCACCATGATTGTGAGGCTTGACCAGCCATGTGGAATTGTGAGTCCATTAAGTCTCTTTTTCTTTAAAAATTACTGACTCTTAGGTATGTCTTTATTAGCAGCATGAGAACAGACTAATACATTCACTACTTTGTTACTTTCTGTCATCCAGGGGAATCCCCTTACCATTCTGGGGCTTTACCACTTAAGTGGCTTATAAGAGTTTTTGCCAAATGCCATTGATTCAAAGTGGCAGAATTCTGGTTCCAGGCAGATTATTCCCAATATGGCCATGGCCTGCACTCTTCTCCAGCCCCACACTCTGAATGAGAGGGGACCAGGGTCACCAGCATCTCCTCTAATAATTTCCTGTGATAACTCTTTCGCTTTCTCAGGAAGGCAAGCAGCCTGGCAGCCCTTGGCACCATCGCTTAGTTTAGTGGCAGTTATAGATAAATAGCAGAATTTTATTAGACTTTTTGGCATATTGGTAGCTCCTCTACAGTATTTTGGGTCAATGCAGGTTTTTCTAAGAGTTTGTTTTTCAGATGGATTCTGGGAGGGAGGAGTTTGACACCTGTGCACAAGTCAACATCCTTTCAAAAAGTCTTCCTAAAAGGCAAATTTATGTTAGGATGTGATTACACGAGCATGAAGAGTTTTGAAAGGTAGTTCAGTGAAGTAAAGATGGAAGGAGCAAGAGCTGAGGAAAAAAGAACATTGAGACCCATCTTTTAACCAAGTATAAAATTAAACACTTAATATCTTAGCAGAAAAGGCCTGAAAGGAAGGTACCATCTCAGCACAAACTTATTAAATAAGGTCTAAAAATTACCCAGACAGTAACAGAATGTTTCCTTGGCAATAATGGTGGTCAAGAGATTGTTACCAGCCTCTTAGGCAGAAAGAATTAAAGAAGGAGTGATATCCCACTGTATTCCTTAATGTATGTAGACTAAATTATAGGGCATTCTAATTTTTTTAAAAAACATAATTTGCTTAAAAACTATATATCTGTGATAGTTAGCCACACCTATGAGAAAGCCTCTTTTTATTTTTTTTTATTTTTTTGAGACGGAGTTTTACTCTTGTTGCCCAGGCTGGAGGGCAATGGTGCGATCTTGGCTCACCACAACCATCGCCTCCCGGGTTCAAGAAATTCTCCTGCCTCAGCCTCCTGAGTAGCTGAGATTACAGACATACACCACCACGCCCAGCTAATTTTGTATTTTTAGTAGAGACGGGGTTTCTCCATGTTGGTCAGGCTGGTCTCAAACACCCAACCTCAGGTGGTCCACCCGCCTTGGCCTCCCAAAGTGCTGGGATTACAGGTATGAGCCACCGGCTGAAAGCCTCCTCTTAATGTGCTAGACCAGGTAACCTTGTCCACCTGATGATGGCTTGCCCAATAGCAAGAGTCTTCTCTATCTTTTACCAATAATCTAAGTATTTTAGTTCTCTGTTCCCTCTACCCCCACTTATTTTTCCCCCCAAAGTTTCCATCCCAATACCCTTTATTTTTTCTATGGTATTCTGTAGGATATCTACAGGTATCCTCTGTATAACCTGGGCTAAATTCAGTCTTCTTTTTACCGTCAAATAAAGTTAGACCCAACCAGGATATTTATTGGAGAGATGAACATACATCGTAATGCAAAAAAAGAAAGGAGCATAAGTGTGAGCTAAAGATCATGAAAGGTAGCCCAGAATCAAAATCTGGTGAGACTATGTTCAAATGCCAAATCCTAAGGACAACCCCCAAATCACAAATATGACTTTGAGGCCAGATTCAGAAGCCAGAAGGCAAGTGATAAGAACAAGAGGCAGTCAGAAACAGACATTCCAAGTCAACTCCTATTACCATCTTCAGAGTGAACATGGCTTACATTTATTGGATGCTGGGAGGATCAGACTATCTTAAGGTAAAGACAGAGTCAGAGTGGATACAAGTTATAACTAAAACATTTAGCAAATTCCAGAAGATAATTCTGTAAATCTGAGTCATCAATAAAGTAACTGTCTTAGTCTGTTCAGGCTGTTATCTAAAAATGCCATAAACTAGGTAGCTTATAAACAACAGAAATTTATTTCTTACAGTTCTGGAGGCTATGATGTCCAATACCAAAGCACCCACATATTAGGTGTCTGGTGAGGGTGTCTGCCATCTTAAGATGGCACCTTCTTTCTGTGTTCCCACATGGTAGAAGGGGGCAAGGCAGCTCTCTGGGATCTCTCTCAGAAGAGCGCCAATCACCTCCTAATACCATTACCTTGGGGGGTAGGGTTTCAATATACGAATTTTGGGGAAACACAAACATTCAGACTATTCCAACTATAAAATTTAAATTTCATTCAAAATGTTATAAGCAAAGATGATTTTCTATCTTGGCCCACATGAAAATTATATGTTTATCCTTGTATATTTTAAAAGGTTGAAAATACCATCTTTGAATTCACTCAGCTACAAGTTAAGTACTATGTATATTAGAATCAATTATTGAAGTGATTATCATGTAATTGTTCTGCATAATAATTTGAAGCATACAGTGCCTCAAAGACTCAGTTTCCTTCAGGGTCAAGCATAACTAGCTCACAGGCTTGCTGAGAGCCCAAGATTAAATACTGTCATCTTTAACGGAGTACTTATTTCTTAAAATGCTGCAAATGAGGTGATGATGAGGAACTGAGAGGACATAAAACAATCCAAACCAAATAAAACAACGATGTCTGCCAAAGTCAGATATTTCTCTCTGTCTCTCTCTCTCTCTCACACACACACACACACACACGATAATTACTGAATGTAACCTGGGAGTGATAAAGGTTGTTAAAAAAATTAATTGGGAGGTCATTAGCCTGAAATGGCTCCAGCACAAATACACAAATAAGTATGAGTAAAACTGGATAAGGAAGGGCAAACAATATCAATGCCAATACCCTGGTTGTAATATTATACAATAGTTTTGCAAAATTGATCAATGGGGGAAACTGAGCAACGAGTACAAGGGATCCCTCTGTATTATTTCCTACAACTGCATGTGAATCCACTCCACAATTATCTCAATACAAATTTTAAAAATAAGTAAATATTAATCATAAATAAGACTAAAGACTAACCACGTTAGTTTTTATAAATATAAGTTAAATTCCCACATTGAAATATAGGAGTATTCAAATCAATTTCTTTTAAAACTATATGTTATTTGAAAGAAATATTTAAAAGGTTATTGAAAATAATAAATGAAAAGATATGAAAATGCTTAACAAAGATTAAGGAAGTATAAAAATATTGATATCAGAAAAATATAACCTGAGGAAAAAGAATCAAATAGAAAAGTAATAATTCATGTAGACATAAATATAAAAGGAAAAGAAAACATACATGAACTAAACACAGCTCCCAAAATAAATGAAAAACTGACAGAAATACAGAAGGAAATAGAAAAACAAAAATAGTGGGATGCAATTATAACTCTCTCACACAGTGAGATCAAGTAAACAAAAGGATAACATAATTTGAATAACCAAAAAAAATCAGTATGGATAAGACAAAGGTATATGAAACTCACTACCCAATTGAGCAACCACATTCCTTGAAAACACCTAGGAAAACATGGATAAAATCTTATCCTCCATTAAGCCTTAGAGAAAAAATTCATTACTTTCCAAACAACTGAAATCATGGAGACCATATTCTATGTAAGCAGTATAATAAATTAAAAACAAAAGCCAGAAAAATTACACTCACTAGAAAAGCCTAAAACGCCAAATCTTCCATGAAAATAGAGACAAGAATAGAAAGCGTATGTACTTAGAAATCACTGATTTTGAGAGCACAGGTATCAAGACCTACAAGTGCTACATTACTAAATTGCGAGATAAGCCCAAGATGATGCTCAAAGAAACATTTACAAATGCAAAGATTAGAAAAGAAAAGGCTGAAAATAAAAGAAGTATATAGTTTAGGATGCTATTGAATTAGGAGTAAAAGATTGTTTTAAGATAGAAAAGGGGGAAATTAGAAACTTAAGTTAAAATAAAAAACAAAAGATGTAGACATCATCAATAAAACTTTGAAAAACCTAACACCAAACCTTTGACAGGCCTGAACAACAACAAAGTGAAAACTCACACACACATTTGAAACAAGAAAAGTCAAAGAAATGGCAGGTTATTTTTAATTATAAGAGATTAATAGGTATAATTTATAATAAATTTGAGGTTTTATACAAAACATGATTTTCTAGGAAAGATCAGTGAAAAACATTAAAAAGGTATCAAAGATGTAATCTTTTAAAATGATACAGGGTCTTATCAGGAGTTTTTAAGGACAAGTTTTAATAAACTTTCAAATATCTGAAAATTCCAATGTTACTAAGCTCTTCCAAAACACACAGGGGTGAAATGAAACACTTTTTAGCTCACTTTAGGAAAACAGATTATCCCAGTGCCCCTGAATCAAAATCAGAACAGGAGAGCAAAGAGGGAGGGCAAGTAGGAAAAAGAGATGGAATATTATAAGATTGAAAATGCAAAAATCCTAAGTGAAATTTTTGCAAATGGAACCCACGAGTATGCCAAAAGGGTTTATCTTAGCAATGCAACTATGATACCATATGAAATCTCTTAATGTAGCAAAATATATTTAAAGACAAAAAAGCTGTGTGATCCCTATAAGAGTTAAAAGTTTTTAATCAAATTCAGTACATAGTCTTACTACAAAAAACTAGTAAACTAGGTAGAAAAGAAAACTTTAATCAGATCAAGTGAATCTGCCAGAACCTAGAGTAAACAACAAAATTCACAGAGAAACATTATTAGTATTTTCATTAAATGTATGAATAAGATAAAGAAGCTTGCTAATACCATTATTATGTGATACCATAATGTAGGTTCCAGAAAATGTTTTTTAAAAATTAAATAGATGAAAGACAGAAAGATGTTGGATCATATTGATATAGATACTACGTTTGCTAAATTAAATTTCACCCAAAACAGTAATATGGAGAACAGATAATAAAATACTTCCTATTCACAATGCAAGATGTTTAACCTGAACTTATATTTTATTAACTACAGCAAAATAGTGCTGATGCCAGAAGAGACAAATCAGTGAACCAGTGTTAAACCAATAAATAGCCCGTTACATCTAGGCATTTTTTGATATGCTAAATATATCATTTCAAATTAGTGAAGACTAAGCAAACATAGTTATCAGATATATGCTCAAACATATATAGGCAAAAGTAATAACCTCAGTATTCTTTACCTGAATGTTCTATAATCTAGAATACCACTCACCATCAAAATTATATGACAAAATATTCAAGAAAATTTCCACAATAAAGTTTTGTGTAATTTTTTTTCTTTTTTTTTTTTTATATGGAGTTTCGCTCTTGTCACCCAGGCTGGAGTGCAATGGCATGATCTGGGCTCACTGCAACCTCTGCCTCCTGGGTTCAAGCAATTCTCCTACCTCAGCCTCCCGAGTAGCTGGAATTATAGGCATGAGCCACCACGCCTGGCCATGTTGTGTAATTTTTAAAAAGAAAATAAAATAGTATTTTGTTATTATAATTTCATAAATATAGAGAGACGTAAAAAGTCATGCACAGAAAAAAAGATGGGAAAAATGTGAAAAAAATTACAGTGGTTATTTTGAGGGAATGCAGTTACGTGTGATTTTATTATTTCTGCTGTGCTTTTCTGTGTTTTCTTTTCCTTTTTGAGATTGGTCTTTCTCTGTTACCCAGGCTGGAGTGAGTGCAGTGGCACAATCTCAGCTCATGCCACCACCTCTCAAGCTCAAGTGATCCTCCCACCTCAGCCTCCCAATGTAGCTGGGACCCCAGGCACACACCACCACACATAATTAATTTTTTTATTATTTGTAAAGATGGGATCTCGCTATGTTGCTCATGCTGGTCTTCAACTTCTGGGCTCAAGCAATCCTCCTGCCTTGGCCTCCCAGAGTGCTGGGATTACAGGCATGAGCCACTGCACCTGGTCCTTTTCTATCTTTTCTGACAATTAAATTTGTAATTAGAAAATAAATTTTGAGTTGACTCATTTTAGCTGAAATGACAACTGTGTTTTGTGAACAGGAGAGAAAAAAACACACTTATGATAGCATGAGTGAAAGAATATGTAAGATTCTCATGAAAAAATATGTGAGAATATCTTATGAAAGAATATATACAGTTATATCATTTTATTCATTCAAAACTTTGCCTCATAAAATGAACTGGCAAAGGAGTGAGTCTACAGTAAAATTGTAGGATAGATATAAGGGTCTCCACATCATCCACGTACTTGGCTTCAGTAGGATGCATTATGTATTAGCTGGTAATATGTGTTGCAGGACTCAACAAAGCAGTTAGATTTGCAGAAGCATAATTAGCTTCACAAGAAAAAAAAAAGCAAAAAAGCAATCAGAGGTGTTCTTGATCTTTAATACAAACGTGAATGTGCTATTGTTTTCCCTGGAAGATCTGTTGAAAGGCTATTATATCTGCAAGGCTACTGTGTCTCAACTCACTTGGGTGCAACTGGGCTGACAATGATTTCTGGAAGGACATCCTGCATCTGTTCCTTCCAGCTAATTTCTCTGCAGAAATAACCATGAGCTGCCAGGCATGGGACTTTGCTGGTGCCAGCAATCTGACAATCAAAAGCCAAATCTATTATGACCCAAGGTAGGCAATAGTTAAGTAGTGACAGCATGAATTTCTCTAAATTCAGAGTTTTCTGTACCCTCTAGCTGATCACTACTCAAGGAAAACTATGAACAGAAACAGCATTGGAGGGGGAAGCAAAAGCTAGTGTTGAGAGCTGAATTGTGTCTCCCCAAAATTCATCTGTTGAAGTCCACATCCTTAGTACCTCAAAATGTAACTATATTTTGAGACAAAGACCTTTAAAGAAGTGATTAAGATAAAATGAGGTCAGATGGGTGGGCCCCAATCCAGTGTGACTGGTGTCATAAAAGGAGGAGGTTAAGTCACAGACAACATACAGACCAAGGGGCAACCCTGTGAGAACACAGTGAGAAGACGACCAGCTGCAAGCCAAGGAGAGAGGCCTCAAAAGAAACCACAGCTATGGATATCTTGATTTTTGACATTTAGACTCCAGAACTGTGAGAAATAAATTTCTGTTCTCTAAGCCACCCAGCCTGTAGTATTTTGTTATGGCAGCACTAGTATACTAACACACCTAGGAACACTCAAATTTCAAAAAGCTCCTATAGTACTTCTCTCAAAAGAAAAATATATTTTAAAAATACGTATCAAGGGAAAAAAATCTTACTGTATCAACTCTAATTGTTTTTGGAAGATACCTTGGCTTCTTTACTTGAAAATAAAATAGCAAAAAATAAATTGTACACACAGATGTATATATCTGGGGATGTGTTTTATACTTATTAGAAAGAGATGTGCTCTTTCTCATAAAACATGGTGTGCTGTGATCCTTGCTAAATGCAAACCCTTGTCCCCAAAGCCATCTATGAGACCCTGTCATGCAATGATCTCTGAAACTTTTGCTTGCAAGAAAATGAGGTCACATCATCCATCATACCACCAGTGAGAAAATCTTTTCCACAGTGTCCTTGACAATGTGGATGATCTCCGAGAGCATACAGGTGCCCAAACATGGGACAGTTTTATGCACTGACAGAATTCCAGTTTTTGAAAAGTTCATCCTGATGTTTAGCTTAAACCTACATCCATTATTCCAAATTCCACCTTCAGATTTGCACTGAAAATGTTTACCCCTCCTTCATGTCCAGTGCCCCGGGTCTTCACATCTACTGCCTACCTTCCTTCAAGTACACTCTCCTTTGACTCTGTCCTACCTCTGGTAGTGTCCACAAAGTCAACACTCTATCTCCCCTAAAGTCCTCTAACAAAAAGGGAGCATGAGATCAACTTCTGGCATGACCACATGAGGAGCTCAGCTGACCTGTTCCTTAGTGAAACTATTGAAATTGTATACACACACAGAATTTGAAGCCCCTGGAAGTGGGCCTGATAGCAAGCAGCAAATGAAAACACATCTATTCAAGAAAACCTAAGGAAATTCTGTAACAAAGGCAAGTCTGTGCCTAAATTAAGAAAAAAAAAAAAAAAAGAAGAAGAAGATCCCAAATCGATAACCTAACTTTCCAATGTAAGATACTGGAAAAAGAAGAGCAAAGTAAGTTTAAGCAGGCAGATTGAAGGAAACAAAGATTAGAGCAGAAGTTAATGAAACAGAGAATTGGAAAACAACAGAGAAAATCAATGAAAACAAAAGCCAATTCCTTGAAAAGATCAACAAAAATAGCAAACTTAAGCTAGATTGGCCAAGGGAAAAAGAAAAGACTCAAATTAATAACAACAAAAACAAAAGAGGGACATTAAATGACCTAACAGAAATAAAAAAGACTATAAAGGAATACTATGAACAATGTATGCCAACAAATCAGATAAATTAGATGAGATGGACAGATATTTTAAAAGATGCAAACTACTGAAACTGACTCAAGAAGAAAGAGATTATATAAATAGACTTGTAATAAGTAAAGAGATTGAATCAGTAATCAAAAAACTACCCACAAAGAAGCACCTTCTGTTCTTCCAAACCCTGGGCCAGGCCTACACTGATGAAGAATTTGATGAACTATGTTTTCAATTTGGTCTGGAAGTTGATGACATTACTTTTGAGAAGGAAATAAGTAATGAACAAGATAATGTAAAGGCAGAAGGGACTTCTAATGTTCTTTGCAAAATTGACATCTCTGTCAATAGATATGACTTCATGTATCTGGAAGGATTGATTTGAGGACTTCAGGTCTTCAAAGAAAGGATAAAGGCTCTGGCATATAAACAGGTAATGCCTAATGGAAAAATCCAGAAATTGATTATCACAGAAAAGATAGTTAAGGTATGCCCTTTACAGTAGCAGCAGTTCTCCAAAATCTAAAGCTTACTAAAGATCAATATGACAGCTTCATTGAACATCAGGAGAAATTGCATCAGGATATTTGCTGGAAAAGAGCATTGGTTGCTACTGGAACCCATTGGACACTTTGTCACCCATTTACTTGTACTGTGCAAAGTGTCCTTTAGATATCAAGTGCAAGCCCTAAATAAGGCCAAGGAGTATACAGTCTGTGAGCCGATGAACATGTACAAGACTGACAACCACCTTAAACACTATTAACATGTCATTGGAAATAAACCCCTGTACCCAGTTATCTATGATAGCAAGGGTGTCGTCCTTTCAATGCCTTCCATCACCAATGAGGATGACTCCAAAATTAAATACTAGAAAGGTATTTATCAAATGCACAGGAAGTGACTTTACTAAGGCAAAAAGAGTTCTTGATATTATCTTGACACCATTTTCAGTGACTATATTGAGAACCAATTTACAATCGAAGCAACTGAGGTAATTTTCCTAATGGAAAAGCATATACTTTTCCAAAACTAGCTTACCAAAAGGAGATAGTGAGGCTGGGCATGGTAGCTCACACCTGTAATCCCAGCACTTTGGGAAGCTGAGGTGGGAAGATCGCTTGAGTCCAGGGGTTCAAGACCAGCCTGGGCAACATAGTGAGATCCCATCTTTATAAAAATATTTTTAATTAAAAATTGTTCAAAAAGATATAGTGAAAGCTGATTTCGTTAACAAAAAAAAAAAAAAAAAGAAATCAGAGAAACTCCAGAAAATCTTGCCTAGCTTCTGACCAGGATGTATTTGAAGTCCAAAGTCATCGGCAATGGGAATCACACTGAGAATAAAATCCCTCTGACCACAGCTGACATTATCCATGCATGTGATATTGTAGAAGATGCAGCTATTGCTTATGGATATAACAATATTCAGATGACTCTCCCATAAACACCACAGCTAATCAATTTCCTCTTAATAAGCTCAAAAAATTTATCAGACATGACATGGTAGCTGAATCCATGGTAGACATGGATTCACTGAAGCACTCATCTTTGCTCTCTGCTCCAAGAGGATATTTCTGATAAACTTGTTTTGGATTATCTCTGCAACAAAAGCAGTCCACATAAGTAAAACTAAAACAGCTCAATTACGCGCAGCATTCATTACCCTTCTTGGTGCTCTGAAGACCATAGAAACAAATCAGAAGATGCTCCTTCCTCTAAAACTATTTGAAATCTCTAACATTGTAATAAAAGATTCTAGCAGAGATGTAGGTACAAAAAACTATGGGCATCTCTTTGCTGTTTATTACGACAAGAATCCTGGGTTTAAGGTCATCCATATGCATCTGGACGGAATTACACAGCTGTGCAATGTACCTCCTGTTGAAAATAAAGGGGGATATGTGATCAAATCATCAAAAGGAACCGCTTTCTTCCCTGGGCAATGCACAGAGATCTTTGCCAGGAGTCAAAATGTCAGGAAGCTTGGAGTCCTTCATCCTGATGTTATCACCAAATTTGAGCTGACCATTCCCTGTTCCTCCCTGGAAATCAATATTGAGCCCTTTTTGTGAAGATAGGTCCTTGTTGTGTGATTCTCTTCCCAAGTATCCCTTTCTCCTCCCCTGATGTCCTTTAGTCCTACTCCACAGAAAACATTCATGTGTGCTTTCATGTTTAGTAAAGTCAAAAACAAAACAACAACAAAAAACCTATCCACAAAGAAAAGCCCAAACCCATACGGCTTCACTGGCGAATTCTGCCAAATATTTACAGAAGAATTTATACTAATTTTTCACAAACTCTTCCAAAAAGCAGCAGAGAGCACTTCCCAGATTATTTTATGAGGCCAGTATTAACCTGATACCAAAACCAGGTGGAAAAAAATGACAAGAAAACTATAGACTAATATCTCTTATAAATATAGATGTAAAATGTCCCAACAAAATACTAATAAATCAGATCCAGAAGCATATTAAAAGGATTATATTCCATTACCATGTGGAATTTATCCCAGGAATGCAAGGTTGATTCAACATCTGAAAATTAATTTAATACATTATATCAATACAATAAAAAATAAAATTATCTAATCATTCCAATAAATGAAAAAAAAGATTTGACAATATCTGATGCCCATTCATAATAAAAACTAATAAACTAGGAATAGAAGGGAATTGTCTCAACATAATGAAGGGCTTCTGAAAAACCAGTAGTTAACATCATGTTCACTGATGAAAAACTGGATGTTTTCCCCTCTAAGAGCAGGAACAAGACAAGGATGTCTGCTCTTACTACTTCTGTTCAACATTGTACTAGAGGTTCTAGTCAGGCCAATTAGGAAAGAAAAAGAAAAGACATCCAGGTATGAAAGGAAGAAGTAAAACTATCTCTGCTCTCAGATGACATTATCTGATGTTATAAATAGAAAATGCTAAGGAATCCATTAAAAAAATACTATAATAAACAAGTTTAGCAAGGTTGCAAGATATAAGATCAATATACAGAAATCAATTATACAATTGTATTTTGTACATTTGCAAATGAGCAACCTAAAAATGAAATTAAGAAAACAATTCCATTCAAAATAACATCAATAAGAATAAAATACTTCGAAATAAATTTAACAAAAGAAGTTCAAAACTCTGAAGACTACAAAACATTACTGACATTAAATAAGTGGAAAAACATCACATCTTCATGCATCAGAAGACAACATGATGCCAATACTCCCTAAATTGATACAGAGATTCAGTGTAATCACTACCAGAATCCCAACTGAATTCTTTGTGGAGATTAGTTAGCTGATTATCAAATTCATATAGAACTTAAGGAACCAAGAATAGTTAAATAGTCCTGAAAATAAAAAAAAAAAAGGATTCATACTTTCTGATTTCAAACTTTTTTCTTTTTCTTTTTTTTTTTTTTTTTGAGTCAGAATCTTGCTCTGTCGCCAGGCTGGAGTACAGTGGCGCGATCTCGGCTCACTGCAACCTCTGCCTCCCAGGTTCAAGCGATTCTCCTGCCTCAGCCTCCCGAGTAGCTGCGACTGCAGGTATGCACCACCATGCCCAGTTAATTTTTGTGGGTTTTGTTTTGTTTTGTTTTTTAGATGGAGTTTTGCTCTTGTTGCACAGGCTGGAGTGCAATGGTGTGATCTTGGCTCACTGCAATCTCCGCCTCCCCGGTTCAAGTGATTCTCCTGCCTCAGCCTCCCGAGTAGCTGGGATTACAGGCATGCACCATCACACCTGACTAATTTTGTATTTTTAGTAGAGATGGGGTTTCTCCATGTTGGTCAGGCTGGTCTCAAACTCCCAACCTCAGGTGATCCGCCCACCTCAGCCTCCCAAAGTGCTGGGATTACAGGCGTGAGCCACTGCGCCTGGCCAATTTTTGTGTTTTTAGTAGAGACGGGGTTTACCATCTTGGCCAGGATGGTCTCGATCTCTTGACCTTGTCATCCACCCACCTCAGCCTCCCAAAGTGCTGGGATTACAGGCAAAACTTTCTACAAAAGAATGGTAATCAAGATATTGTGGTACTGGCATAAAGATAGACATGAATCAAAGGAATAGAACTGTCAGTCCAGAAATAAAACCATACATCTATAGTCAACTGATTTCAACAAGAGTGCTAAAACCATTCAAAGAGGAAAGAATAGACTTTTCAACACATAGTGCTGGGACAAATGGATATTCACATACACAAAAATTAACCTGGGCTCTTCCTTCACACCATATACAGTATTAACTCAAAATGGATCAAACATTTAAATGTAAGAGTTCAAACTATAAAACTCTTAGGGGAAAACACAGGAGTAAATTGTATGTCTTCATGACCTTGGGCTTGGCAATGGATTTTTACATATGGCATCCAAAGCATGAGCAACAAAAGGAAGTAAAGTAGCTTTCCACAAAATTTTAAACCATGTGCTTCAAAGGACACCACACGAAAACCCACAGAATGGGAGAAAATATTTGCAAATCACATGTCTAAGAGACTTATCTCTGGAATACATTCTTTAAACTCTCACATCTCAAAAGCAAACAGTCTAGCTAAATAATGGGCAAAGGATCTGACTAGACTTTTTTTTTCAGAGAAGATATACAAATAACCAATAAGCACATGAAAAGATGCTCACATCAGTCCTCAAGGAAGTAAAAGTTAAAACCACCATGAGATACGACTTCATAACTCCTAGGATGGCTCAATCAAAATGTTATATGATAACAAGTGCTTGCAAGAATGTTGAGAAATGGGAACACTTACACACTGCTAGTGGGGATGTAAAATGGTGAAGACACTTTGGAAAACAATCTAGCAGCTCCTCAAACATAAAGTTGTTATATGACCCAGTAATTTCACTCCAAAGTATTTAGCCAAGAGAAATGAGAACATATGTGCACACAAAACTGTGTACAGAAATATGAAAAGCAGTATTATTCACAATAGCCAAAAGGTAGAACCAACCCAAATGTCCACCAACTAATAAAGATATACCATACACTAGAATATTATTCAGCCATAAAAAGGAAGGAAACACTGACACATGTTACATCTTAGATGAACCTTGTAAACATTATGCTAAGTGAAAGAATCCCCTCACTAAAGTCCACATATTATACAATTTCATTCCTATGAAAATCTAGTACAGGGAAATCTACAAACACATAAAGTAGATTAGTTCTAGCTTAGTGTTGGGGTAGATGGGGAATACAAGGGTGATAACTAAAGGGTAGAGAGTTTCTTTTTGACATGATGAAAGTATTCTAAAGTGTTCTGTGAGGCTGGGCACAGTGGTTCATGCCTGTAATCCCAGTGCCTTGGGAGGCCAAGGAAGGAGGATTGCTTGATGACAGGAGTTTGAGACAAGCCTGGCAACATGGCAAGACCCCATCTCTATGAAAAATTTAAACATTACTCAGTCATAGTGGTGCGTGCCTGTGGTCCCAGCTACTTGGTTGGGGTTGGGGTGATGGGCTGAGGTGGGAGGATTGCTTGAGCCTGGGAGGTTGAGGCTGCGGTGAGCCATGATCGTATCACTGCACTCCAGCCTGGGTGACAAAGCAGAACCTTGTCTCTAAAAATATATATATATATTTTTAAAAAAAGGGCACTGTGGTGATAGTTGTACATATATGTGAATATAGTAAAAAAAAATAAATTGTACACTTTTAGTGTGTAAATCATATGGTATTTAAATATTTTAATAGACTATTTTTTTGAAAAAATGAAACATCCTGATATCAAAAGAAACTGTTCTTAGTTTTAAACCTTCCAAAATTTTTCTATATGGGATATTCAACAACACATTGAACAGTAATCTCAATTTAACCCCAAAATAAGGCTTCCCCAAGCATTTGACTGGACATGTAGAGCTTAATTATGAATTCCTACTAGATGTACAATGCTCCATCCCTGCCATGGTCTATTCAAAAACTGCTAGCTGTGGGACCAGGTCTGCGGTACTTTGTGGCACCTCCAATTAACAGACAGGAGATCCAGCCCCTGTCTTTATCTCCACCACTCAGTCACGCATTCCTGGGCTTCAGTTTCCTCATCCGTGCATCTGGCATGCTAGCCCTCGCCCTAACAAGTTCCACAGTTGGTTGTGAGGATCAAATGAGATAACGAAAGGCACTTTGAAAAGATGAAAGCATTATAATAACAAGACATTATTCCTTAGCACTCCCTGCAAGACGCTTTAGCAACTACCGCGCTGGGGAGAGATTAAGTACACATAAGGTAAAAAGGAAACTTTACCTAGTGTTTTCAACCAAATTCAAAAAGTGTTTTACGTTAATTAAGGTTTCAAGTTGATAAACTAGTACGTCATTTGAATATTTCCATCAGTCCTATAAAGTAAGAAATGATGTCACAGCCTTTTTCAGAGGACTGAATATTTTCCAAGTAACATATCTCATGGATACAGGGCAGAAAAGTAGTAAGAATTATCAAATTCCATCTTTCTTTTTTAATATAATAATACCCAAAAAGCCTTTAAAATCAAAAAATAATCTTTGTCACACTTTGAACATACTTAGCATTCCTTTTAAAGCATTTTCCCTGCTGGCAATGGATTTTGGGTTGCAGTGCCTTAAGCAGAAAAAGCAAGTCCAAAGAGAAAAGAAAAAAACAAAAAAAACAAGGAAACAAGCATGAAGCATCAGTTGTAAGCAAGCACTTTACAAAGGGAATGAAAAAGGAGGTCTGGCAGTCTCGCCTTCAGGGTTCCTCCCTAGAAGGATCTGGCCATTTATGCTGCTACATTAATTCATGACAGGAGAGGGAGCCAAGTTCTCCAACTATGGTTCTCAGTATTAAAAATATTTCTATTGTCCAAGTAATTTTACATATATTATCCCTTTTGATCACCACAATAAAAGAGAAGCAATGTTTTTCCTATTCATGAATTGCAGAACAAGGAATAGCATCCAGCACTCCAATTCTTTACCTCTCTGTAATGTCCTATGCCCTGCACAGAGAGCTGAGGGCTCCCACCCCTGCACTGAGACTTGGCCAACAATGCTGGCTTGGCTTCTGCTTGCCTAAGCCAATCCCTAGGTCGACCCAGCACTGCTTTGAGTTCCTATCTGAAGACTTGCTCAAGGCTGTCAAAAGAATTTACCTTTTGATCTAGCCAACACCTGATGATAGGCCACTGATACTCCCACTTTACTGGAGCATTTACTAAAAAAAAATAGCTTACAATTGTAAATCCTCCCTCTGTCCCTTTGAGATACAGATGGTCCGCGACCTACGATGGTTCAATCTGTGATTTTTTGGCTTGGCAATGGTGTGAAGGTGATACACATTCAGAGAAACTGTACTTCAGAATGGTGCAACCATTCTGTTCTTCACTTTCAGTACAGCATTCAATAAATTACGTGAGATATTCAACACTTTATTATAAAATAGGCCTTGTGTTAGATGATTTCACCCAATGGTAGGCTAATGTAAGTCTTCTGAGCACACTTAAGGTTGATTGGGCTAAGCTATGATGTTTTGTAAGGTGTATTAAGTGTATTTTTGACTTATAATATTTTCAATTTACAATGGGTTTATTGAGACAAAACACCAAAGTAAGTTGAAGAGCATCTGTATCTCCTGTAACTTAAGTGTGTCCTTCTCAAGGACCTGAAAACTATTTCTTTGAAATGTAATTATCAAGAAAAATGGAGCTTCTGTCCCCCAGTCTCTGGAGGAGGATAGAATCCTAACTTCAGTAATTTCCAGCAAGCAAACACAGCTGGCCTCATCATATTTACACTGACTAACCCTCTTAGCCCTTTTTTTTCACTTCCCTGACACTACTGAGCCCTTGCTTGCTCCCACTCCCTGTTCCCTCATTCTCCCTTTAAATAGCCCAGTCGCCTCTGTACAAATTTGAACAGAGCTCAGCTCTTCCCGCTATTGTCAGTTTTACTGAATAAAGTAGTTTTTATCACTTTTAACTAATGTCCAGCTTTGTTTCTCTTTGACAACACAGAGGTAAAAGTGGTCAAATCCTGTCAGCTCTCCTCTTCATTGTGTCTTGAATCTGACCCAAGTCACCAACTCTGCCCTTCCTCTCTTTGCACCCCCACCAACCAATACCCACCCCCAATATTGAGGGCTTCCCATCTCTCCCAGTGGACAAACCTCCTTTAAATCTCTCTCTGCCTCAAATCTCCACCCTCCCAGGCAATCTCCTATGCATTTCCTCCCAAAGTGTATGTTGCATCATATCTCCCTCTCTTCAAAATCATCTGTGGTGTTGACAAGCTAATTAGCATTTAATACTCTGCACTGGCTGTTCTAAGCCTCAATTTCATTTATATCTCTGAGCTAATCTGCCAAGGGAAGGCAGGGACAGGAAGAAGCAAGTCTTTCACAAACTTCCACAGGGCTCAGAGTGTGACAGCATGGGGGGTTGTGAAAAACATGTGGCCCAGCCATTCGCAGAAAGCCTCAGCCCTGTCCCAGCCATTGCCTGAAACTGTCCCATGAAAAAGAGCCATTATCTCCTTAAACAACGCAGCAAATCAGCAAATCCTGCCTCACAGAGGCTAGAATTTGTCATTCTGCATCCTTTACTCTTTGGGCTAGCACAAAACAAAATAAACACCAAAATTAATGACACTGACAACCAGTATTTATTGAGTGCCTTCTCTGAACCATGTGTCTTCCTAAATGCTTACCTGTATTTTCCCATTTAATCTTCATATAATAACCATGAGGTGGGTATTATTATTCTCATTTAACAGATGAAGAAATTGAAGCTTAACATGGATCTGCATCTTATCCTATGTATTTTTTCGTTTGTAAATCTGCTGCTGTTACCCATTTCTCTGAATGTTTTTAAGG
Source organism: Homo sapiens (assembly GCF_000001405.40). NCBI lineage: Eukaryota > Metazoa > Chordata > Mammalia > Primates > Hominidae > Homo > Homo sapiens. The sequence continues at coordinate 80,769,389 of NC_000010.11, read as the reverse complement.
AGCAGCAGAGTTACAAAACAGAAAACACATACCCGTAAGTGGTGAGGCTGGGACCTGAATCCAGGTCCCTGTGCCCCCCAGAGCTTCTTAACTACTGCACATGCTGACAAATATCATAAGGGTTTTAAACAGCTGCCATTCAACTTATGGTCTTCAGGCCATTTCTCATAACACATGGGCTGCATTCCTTTTTGTCATCCTAGGCATTTTCCTCCAAATGTGGGCTAGTAAATCTAGAATGGAATAAAAATAGCACTCTAAGGAAGGTCTGGGTAGGTCAGAGTGGAGTGGGACTGCCCATCACCTCTCTCAGTTCATCAAGGTAAATTTCAAATAGATTAAAGAGTTCAATATTTTCTCAAAAAAATCAATGAAAAACAAGAAAACAGAATGACAAATTTTTTTAAGCCCTGAAAGAAAGATTATTTTCTCAACCTAGCAGTAATACAGTTCTTGTGTTTTCTGTGTTACAAAGGACAATATTGAAGGATTTGACTACAAAAAAATTAAAACCTCTGAACATAAAAAGTAACTAAAATATAAACACAAACAGCAAACTGAAATAATGTTTGCAGGATATGTGACAAGGGTAAATAACCTTATTAAACAAAGAGTGTGCGCCAATAGATATGAAAAACATTAAGGTAAATGGGTATCAGCAGGAGATTTACAAAAGAGAAAATACAACCTGTAACTAACATGTTGGGAAAAAGTTCAGCCTTACGAGAAACAAAGAAATGTAAATAGCAAGCTCCTGGTTTTCTTCTAATAATTAGCAAAAGATTAAGAAAAGATGTTCAATTCTCTTAGCAGATGTGACAAAACCATTAGCAGATGTGAAAACCAGTAGTCTTCTACTTTTTCTACAGGCAGTATACACTGGTAGAGACTTCCGGGAAAACAAAATTGGCAATAAATTTCACAGCTATGTTTTTAAGTGTTACAGTTAGGCTACTTCCCATTTTTGTAGTAATATAAAATACAAAAAGAGCTAAAAGGATAAGATAATTATAGTAGCTCAAGTTGGAAGTATTCAAAGATTACAGTAATAGGAGCATATCCATGTGATTTGTGCTATGTAGGTTACATCCACTTTATAAATTACTATTTTATAATGTAAAATAGCATGTGTATGCTTTCTCACATTAAAATATGTATTGCATTCTATGAAAAGGCAGCATGAATATGCACACTGTCTATAACTATGCACAAACATTCATCCAAAAAAATAGGTGGGGCTAGGGAAGCATGATAAAGATTGCTGAGTCAGCCATTGGTGTTCACGTGTAACTAGGATTTTGTCTCATTTTGCCAACTTACATGCATATATATATATATATATATATATACATATATACACAATTTTATGCTATCTATCAATATTTCTCTTAAATTTTGGTTTATTATGCATGTTTTACTTGAAAATCTTTTATTAATATTGTTTGAAAACCTTAAAAAACATAAGCACAAAAAGAAACACCTTGAAATCGTAACTCTAAATCATTCTAACTATTGTAAACAGCTTGATATGCAACTTTCAGTACTTTTCAGTAATAATGGTAATTGCAATAATAGTTGACCTTTGTATGTCATTTACTCTGTGCCAGGCACTGTTCAAAGTTCTTGATGTGTATTAACTCACTAATTTCTCACAAAAATCTTATGAAGTAGTTCTATCATCATCCCCATCTTACAGATAAGAAAACTGAATTATAAATAAGTTATTGGCTGAAAATACACATAGTATTACTGAAAATTACTAGATATTAGTAGGGCTAAAATTCCAAATATTTTGATCATTTGTATGTCATTATTTATTATTATTATTCTACATCCCAGTTAATGATTTATACAATCGTTAGAAAGTAAAAGTTAATTAATGAGCAATGACTCATTATCCAATCCATTGTTTTGGACCATTTACAATTTTCCAGTTTCCTGACAGTATAAAAATAATGGTAAGTGTTTACATCTATAAACAAATTTTTACACATTAGCAATCAATTTCTCAGAATGAAATTCTGAAAGAAATATTGCTGAATTAAAGAGTAGAAAATTTTTATTGTCTTTTGGCTAAAAACTTCCCATATTTGGCAAAAGACATAAACATACAGATTTAAAGAAGTTAAATGTATCCCAAAGAGAATAAATCTAGCAAATCTCCATCAAGATACAGATAGTCAAACTTCAGAAGACAGAGAAAAAAGAGCAGTGAGAGAAACAACACTTTACCTAAAGGGGAAAACAATTTCAAAGAGAGCAGATTTCTCCTGAGAAACCACGGATGCCAAAAGGAAGGGGCACAGTATTTAATATTGCTGAGAATAAAGAATCATCAGCCCAGAATTCTGTCTCCAGTGAAAATTGATTTCAGGAATGAAGGAGAATCAAGCCATTCTCAGAAGAAGGAATACTAAGAAAATTTCTCAGTAGCAGACCTGCCCCAAAAGAATGGCTAAATTAAGTTATCTAAATAGAAAAGAAATATTAAAAGAAGGCAACTTGGCACTTCAGGAAGAAAGAAGTTAATAAGAAAATAAATGGGTAAACACAACAGACATTTCTTCTCTTTGAGTTTTCTAAATTATGTTTGATAATAGAAGCAAAAATTATACTACTAGATCATGTGATTCTAAACATATATAGAGGAAATAGTTAAGATAATTATAGACAGGGAAGAATAAAATGATGATAAAGGAGGTAAGATTTCAACAATCATTTGAACTGGTAAAATAATGGCATCAGTACACTGTAATAATTTATGCATATATATAACAAAATACCTAGAGTAACCACTAAAAAAGCTACATAAGTATATTTAAATACTACACATACATAAAAAGGGAATTCTAAAAATGTTCAAGTAACCCACAGAAAGTCGGGAAAAGGAAAACAGAAAAATAAAAACAACAAAGTGAACAAATAAAAACAAAAAATAACATGGGATACTTAAACCCTAGCAGACCAATAATTCCATGAAATGTAAATGGTCTAAATACACAAATTAAAATATACGGATAGGCAGAAGAGATTTAAAAATATGACCCATCTATATGCTGCATATAAGAAACTCGCTTCATATATAATAATATAGGAACATTGAAAGAAAAGGGATTGGGGAGGGATAATATATTCTGCAGATCCTAATCAAAAGAAGGCAGATGTGGCTATATTAATATCAGATAAGGTAAACTTCAGACCAAAGAAAATGACCAGAGAAAATAAGCAACGTTATATGATGATAAAAGGGTCAATCCATGAAGAATACATTGCAATCCTTAATATGTATGCACCAAAAGTCAGAGCAATAGATGAAGTAAATAAAAACTGACAAAACTGAAAGGAGAATAGACAAACTCAGAATTAAGGTTGGAGACTTCAACACACCTTTTTCAACAATTGAGAGGACAGCTAGACAAAAAAACCAGCAAGGATATAAAGGAACTCAACAACCACCATCAACCAACAGGGTCTACTCAACAATTATAGCACACAGTACCACAGAACAGCAGAATGCACAATGTTTTCAAGTGCCTACGAAACATAAACCAAGATATATCATATGAGCCATGAAACCTCAACAAATGTAAAAGAATGGAAATCATACAAAAGGCATTCTCCAACAGTAGTGGAATCAAACTGGAAGTCAATAACTGAAAGAACAGAAAAATCTCCAAACACCTAGAAACTAAACAATACACTTCTAAGAGTCACAGGGACATTTTAAAAGTGCATTGTACTAACCAGGCATGGTGGCTCATGCCTGTGATCCCAGCACTTTGGGAGGCTGAGGTGGGCAGATTGCCTGAGGTCAGGAGTTCAATAACAGCCTGGCCAACATGGTGAAACCCTGTCTCTACTAAAAATACAAAAATTAGCCAGCCATGGTGGTGGGCGCCTGTAATCCCAGCTACCCAGGAGGCTGAGGCAGGAAAATCGCTTGAACCCAGAAGGTGGAGGCGGCAGTGGACTGACATTGTGCCACTGCACTCCAGCCTGGGTGACAGAGCACGACTCCATCTAAAAACAAATAAATAAATAAAATACATTGTACTGAAATAAATTTAAAATACAGCATATGCAAATTTGTGGGACATAGCTACAGCAGTGCCAAGGGGAAAATTTGTAGCACTAAATGCATACAACTTTTAAAAAGAAAATCTCAGATTAATCATCTAAGTTCCCATCCCAAGAACCTATAAAAAAAGAGCAAAACAAATGCAACCAAGCAGAGGGAATAAAATAATAAAGAACAGAAATCAATGACACAGAAAACAAAGAAAATAGAGACAAGGAATAAAACAAAAGTGGGTTTTGTAGTTTTCAGCATACAAGTCTCATACATGTTTTGATGGATTTATACTGAAGGGTCATATATGCACAAGATTGGGTCTCTGCCAGCAGGATCACAAGTAAGCAAATAATCACAATACCATGAGATGGATGAGACCAAAACAGGCTGATGTGACTTAAAGGAATGGTGACAATCCAACTCCCTCTGCAACACAAGATGAATGCTAGGACCAAACACACCAAGAAGTTAGAAGAATCCGTACCAGTACTCAAAATTAGGAAAGGGCTCTGCCCACGTGGCATACACCTCGAAGATCTCCTGCTGAATATGTTGACAACTGGGGCAGTGTAAATGAACTCACAAGGGACAGAGTCCGATCACATTTGTGGAGGTGCAAAGACTCAGGTGCACCATGGGCCAAGAGATCAACTTCTCTAGTGCAGTAGATGGGAGTGCACGGGGAGACACAGGAGGGGGACACTTGAAATTTTTTTGTATTTTTTTTGTAATTTTTTTGTAATTTTTTTGTATTTTTAGTAGAGACGGGGTTTCACCGTGTTAGCCAGGATGGTCTTGATCTCCTGACCTCATGATCTGCCGGCCTCAGCCTCCCAAAGTGCTGGGATTACAGGTGTGAGCCACCGCGCCTGGCCAACTTCCTTTCTTTCTAATTCTTATACCTTTAAATCCCTAGGACAATGAACTTAGAGTGTTTAATTTTTTAAATAAGACTTAAAGAATCAGTGTGATAAATGAAGATTTGAAGCTGGGATCCTTGGATTTGATTTCCCGGTCAGTTATTGAAAAGCTAACCTTAGGAACCATCTTTAACCCTGAGAAGCCGCCCTGCCTGCCCGCAAAAGGTTTACACAATTAAATGTGGAAAAAGGAGCAGATATTTTGTGTTCATTTTGTGCAGGAAGTAAATATGGGCTTTATTTCAGATATTTATGATTTTATAGCAATACCTCTTCCATGTGCTTTAAGATATGCAAGGAGTAGTTGGATAAGCCAATGAAGGAAAAATTAAGTGGGAGCAAAGTAGCAAGAAAACAACACAGCAGAAACTAGATGTGTGACCTGTGGTAATCAGCATGGAAAGAAAGACTTTCAGATGAGTAAAGACACATGCACACTCACAATTACACACCTTTTAAAAGATAAACTCCTTCCAAAAAAATAAAGCATAAAAATTTTATTTTAATGATGACCCTTTTTTCTAACCCAGCACCCAAGCAGTTAATTGCTGTCAGAGAACCCAGACAACAGGACAAATAGGAAATGTCATAAATCTGGGATTGCTTCCCTTCGATGAGCTTATGGCACTCAGGGCTTTCTGACTATACTGCCCTGATCCAACATCTGACCCTCTTCTATGAACACTTCAGAACTTGTCCACCCTCATCCAACCTGAACCATTGTGATGGTTACTTTTATGTGCCAATTTGGCTAGACTATGGTATCTACATATCTGGTCAAACACATCTGGATGTTGCTGTGAAGATATTCTTTATATGAGATTAACGTTTGCAATCAGACTTTCAGTAAAGCAGATTGCATGACATAATGTGGGTGGGTCTCATCCAACCAGATGAAGGTCTTAGAGAAAAGACTGAATCCCTAGAGAAAGAGAGAATTTTGCCAGAAGATTGCCTTCAGACTTGAGCGGCAACACTAGCTTTTCCCTGGGTCTCCAGCCTTCCAGTTGTGCCTATCCTGCAGATTTTGGACTTGCCACTCTCCAAAATCATGTCAGCCAATTCCACACTCATGTCTGAGCATCCAAAACACCCCCATGATCCTGGTTTTCCTTCTTTCTCTCTAGATTTTCCAGAGAGAAAGAAGGTGCTTTCTCAGGGTGCTTTGAGGTTTTATCCTTCCCAGTCCAACTTCAGAGAAATCCTTTTCAATGCTGGAAGCCCTTTCTCTTCAAAGCCTATTCTCTCCCCAGAAGACTTCACGCAGAAGCATGGTTTCATTCACCACCCACATGCTGCTGGCCCCAGCCCAGGTTTCTCTGAGGTCCAACAGATCCACCTAAACACTCTGTCACCTTCTCACAGCTCCACCTAGACACTCAAAAGTTGTGATTTTATTTTGCCAGATGAGAAGTCTAGTTTTCTGTGGGAAAAAGGGAGCTAGCCTTCCTAAGGGGCAACTGGGTGACATTTTGCTGTATGTTTGTGCACAAAGTTTACTTCCTATTTATAGTTGCAATCTGAAGACCAGTAATGTCCTTCTCCAACTTGGATAATGCCACCTTAGCCACTTCTGTGGCTTCCAGCTCACAAAGAACCCCAGCTGAGCCAAGTATAACCTGGGAGTGACCATCAAGTCCAGCCATGGCATGGACTTCCACCAGCACATGTTAACCTTGGATATTATTAGCATGGGAAACTGCCACCAACAGACAGCACCACATCCTATACTTCCTTCTAGCCCCTCTGCTTGATATTAGAAAGTTTCAACTAGAAGTCCTATCCATTAATTATCAGGTGGGCTTTATTTTTGTATGCAGCATCTCACAAGTTAGTCCACTCATTGTAGTCTTGGCTATACTTTATCATCCAAAAATTCATCAACATTCTGGTGAATGGACGGCATCTTTTGAGGGTTGATTGTATTCTATGTCATTTAAAGGGATTCAGGAAGAATGCTTTCATGGGATTCATATGCCATCCTGAATTAGAAGTTTAAGTTTTATTCCTAAAGATTCTCCTCACTCTGACATTCTCTTAGCCAATAATTCTTTAAAATTTTCCAATCCTGGTCAGGCACGGTGGCTCACGCCTGTAATCCCAGCACTTTGGGAGGCCGAGGCAGGCAGATCACGAGGTCAGGAGATTCAGACCATCCTGGCTAACACGGTGAAACCCCGTCTCTACTAAAAATACAAAAAATTAGCCAGGCATGGTGGTGGGTGCCTGTAGTCCCAGCTACTCGGGAGTCTGAGGCAGGAGAATGGCATGAACCCAGGAGGCAGAGCTGGCAGTGAGCCGAGACCACACCACTGCACTCCAGCCTGGGTGACAGAGTGAAACTCTGTCTCCAAAAAAAAAAAAAAATTCCAATCCTAGTTTTCTTTAAGAGTTCCCACTATCTTTTGGCTGGGCATGGTGGTGCACCCCTGTAATCCCAGCATTTTGGGAGACCGAGGTAGGTAGATCACCTGAGCTGAGGAGTTTGAGACCAGCCTGGGCCACATGGCAAAACCCTGACTCTACGAAAGCAAAAACTGCACACCTGTAGTCCCAGCTACCTTGGGGGCTGAGGCAGGAGGTCAAGGCTGCAGTGAGCCCAGATTGTGCCACTGCACTCCAGCCTGGGTAACAGAGTGAGACCCTGTCTTAAAAAAAAAAAAAAAGAAAAGAAAGGAAAAATTAAGAATACCCATTTTGCTTAACTGAGGTACATACCTATAATCTGGAGCATTGATGCCTAGGAAAACACTAGCCACGAAGCACGTCTAACAACTGTTATGAGGAGAAAAAAAGGAAACCAATGGCCTTTAGCTTTAAAATCTTTCTCTAATAGACAAAGTGCAATGGCCCTCACTTAGTGTTCTTTCTTCTGCTACAATCCACCAGCCTAGGGCTGGGATATCTGCTGCCTGCATCTCCTTGCTGCCTTCTGCTCTTAACTTTCCAAAGCATCTCCACATTTTAAGGGAAAAAGGCTGTGTCAGATGGGAGCTCTTTAGTACATGAAGAGATATGAGATTATCTGGTCTGGGTAGATGAGGAATCCTGATTGTGAGAAACAGCAGCAGTGATGAATATCTGTTGAGTTCCACATAAAAAGCCCCAGTAACTGATCAAGTGCACAGTCATAAATAGCAAGCCTTTATCTTCATGCTTTGGGACAATCTTGTTTTCATAGGTAGCCTATGAAGATGATCAAGATTTCCCAAGAGTGATGTTAGTTTTCGGTTTCCACATGTAATATGAAAACAATTTTTACCCTTAACTACAGCTTTCAAGTTCCTTTTTTCTCTAAGGAAATATCTAGGCATATTATGAAAATTAATCACTGCATTATATTCACTAAAAATAACCTTTTCTGGAGACAGTCACAAGGGCCTTCTTATGCTTTCTATATATAGTCTTGCTTTTAGATTTTAAAAAGTAGCTTTGTGGTAAGTTTTGAAATAAGAAGTGTGAATCTTTCAACTTCGTTAGTCTATAGTATGCTGTATGCTTGGTATATTGCAGACCCAAAGAAAGTCTAACTTATCAAACTTCATCATCAGAATTTCTTTCTGGTGAATCATGTTTGATTGTTTGATTTTAGGCTCCTTAGATTCTTCAGAGCTGGTGGGGGTGAGGTGGGCTGTTTATCTTATTTTTTTTTTAACCTCTCACCTTCACAAAGGCAAAGAAAAGATTCTATTTAAAGCCTTCCTGCTCGAAGTATAATTTGCAGAACAGCAGCAGCAGCATCACCTGGGAGTTTGTTGCAAATGCTACTCTCAGGCCCACCCCAGACCTGCTGAATCAGAATTTCTTTTTGAATCAGAACCTCAGGTGGTTGATGCTCACATTAAAATTGGAGAAACACTGATTTAAAACACTGAACATCATCCGGGTTTCTATATCCTGTATCTGTAAAATGGGGGTAAAATCAATTATGTCTGTCATAGCACATTATGAAATTCGAATAATATAGGGAATGTGGAAGTGATATCCAGATGAAGAGAATTAAAGTCAGTTAGTAGATTAAGCATTTACAGGGTTGTAGTGCAGATGAAGTGAAATGTGCACAGCACAGTGCTTGGTAAAATGTAAGATGCAATCACAGAATTAATCATTCACTTATCTAATAAATGTTTATTAAGCTTTTATTAGATGCCAGGCAGTGATCCCACCCCTGCTCTCACAGATGTAAGAGGTGACAATAGACAGGAGGTCCACAGCCAGAGGAATGCTTCAGGTTGGGTAGAGGCCAGATTCTGTGGTGCAAACCTTTTCCCACATTCTAATCTTACCAAGAGATTGAAAAGGTGTTTTTAGAGCCTAGTGAAAGTGACTTTGAGCATATCGTGAGTCAGAGATTTCTCTTCTGAGTTGGTAAATCCCTCTTAGATTTAACTCTGCTACGGTGATTCCGAAACAACCAAGCATCAAAAATGCACACTAGCTCACGATGCTGGGGAAATAAAATATCTATTATCCCTTGACACTTGCTCTACTCTTGCAATGCATGATGCAACTAAAATCCATGGTGCACAGACATAGCCTCGGCTAATGAATATTTTCATAGAAGCAAGCATATCAGGCTTGCAAGCAATGCAACAGTAAGAAATTGAGTAGATCCCATGGTTGGAAATAACTTTCAAAAGAAAAAAAAAGCTCAATTATTGTGAAAGGGGACTTTCTTGAACAGAGACCTCTTCATTGAATCATTGTCTTCAAAGAGCTGAAGAAACCTGAGACAAGGCCTAGTCCAAGGGACACCAGCACAAAGGCAGGGAGAAGAACAGTGAAAAAAGCAGGGGAAAGAGCATTGCCAATAATCACAGATGAAGGCAGTAAAGAGGACCACGTGGTCAGTTCAGACCAGTCAGTCCACACACTGGCACTTGGACTTGCTGATCTGTTCCAACCCCTTCATTTATAGACAAGAAAGCAAGTTCCAAGAGATTACATGTCTAAGTTTTCCATATTACTACGGAATTTAAAGATATCCTAACTACACTGGAAAAACTTACCATCTACTTTGGAAATAATTCATGCTGATAAAAACATGTCAGGTAGTACCTGTGGCCAGGGAAAACAAAAGCATTGTGATCAGGGTGGCCAGGAGAAGATATCAAGAGCTGGTTTCTGCAGAAATTGACAAACTGATCCTAAACTTCATATGGACCCAGAAGAACCAAAACAATCTTGAAAAAGAACAAAGTTGGAGGAGTCACTCTTCCTGATTTAAAAACTTACTACACAAAGTTATACTAATCAAGGCTATGTGTTGCTGGCATAAGGATAGACATATAGATCAACAGAATAAAATTGAAGTCAAGAAATAAACCCTCACATTTCAGGGTAATCGATTTTTCACAAGGATACCAAGACACTTCAATGGGGAAAGAAAGTTCTTGAAAAATTATTCTGGGACAACTGAATATCCACATGCAAAATAATTGGTATGGAGACCTAACTGATACCAATTAACTCAAAATGGATCATAAACATAAGAGCTAAAACCATAAAACTCTTAGAAGAAAAATGGGAATAAATCTTTGTAATTTTGGGTTAGGAAAAGCTTTCTTAGATACTGCACTAAAAGCATAACAAAAGAAAAAATAGATAAATTAGACTACATCAAAATTAAAATGTGTTTAAAAGTGATCTCCAAACTCCAGATTAACTGCATTCAAATATTCTAGGAAAAAAGAAAAGGAAGCTATATAAAAATATAGAATCCCAAACCACACCCTCAGAAGGTATGAAAAGCCATACTTTCACAAATCTCAAATTATACTGATGCTAACATACAACTGCAAGTGGAAATTCTCGTTCTAGAAATTTAAACAAAACATAGAATGAGAAGAAAATATAGATGAATATCTTATGTCCGCATAAGGGAACATTTTCAGTATGTAAAAGCAAAGAAATAAGCTATTTATTTATTCATTCATTCATTCATATATTTTTGAGACAGTCTTTCTCTGTCATCCAGGCTGGAGTACAGTGGCATGATCATGGCTCACTGCAGCCTTGACACCCAGACTCAAGTGATCCTTCCACTACAGTCCCCCAACAACCATAGCTCGGACCACAGGAAAGCACCACCACACCCGGCTAATGTTTTAATTTTTTAAATTTTTTTGTAGAGACAGGGTCTCGCAATGTTGCCCAGACTGGTTTTGAACTCCCGGGCTCAAGCAATCCTCCTGCCTCAGCCTCCCAAAGTTCTGGGATTACAGGTGTGAGTCACCGCACCCAGCCCATTGATTTATTAAGCACATACTTACTGGGACTATCAAGTACATGCACTTTTTGGCTACACGGAATGTCTAAACTTCTGTGTATCAAAAATTATCATTACAAACAAATTAGGAAAAACTATTTTCAATGTCTATGGGAAATAAAGATAATGTCCTTAGTAATTTTTTTTTTGAAATACACTTGTAATCTACTAACAAAGGCAAGTAATGAAATAAAAGTAGGAAATTGACATAAGTCACAAAAGAAAATAAATTCCCAAAATTAAAATGAAAATATGTGAAAAAGTGTTTGGCTTCTCTAATAGTTGTGGAAATGGAGACTATCTGGATAAAATACAAAATACATGTGTGCCTATCAAGATGTTAAATATAAAAACAATAGAATGAATGCCAGGGTTGGCATGGGTGTAGTTAGAGGAGAGCTTTCTTACACTCTTAGCAGTTGAAATTGCCACATATATTACTCTCACTCTTCTTATCTGTTAACTTTCATCCAGTTATGTTGTGGTAGCAAACAACCCCAAAGTCTCAGTGGCTTACGACAGTAAAGTTTTATTTCTCACTCATGGTGTGTGTTGGCTGTAGGCTAGCTGGGACATTGCTCCATGTGTCTTCTTCCCTCTAGGTTCCAGACTGCTAACAAGAATATGTCACTATCTGGAATAGAGGAAAACACAGCGTTGGAAACTACGATGGTTCTCAAAGTTTCGGCTGGGAAGAACCTGATGTCACTTCTATTCATGTTCCATTGACCAATGCAAGTCATAGGTTCAAAGAATAGGATAGAAGAGCACAAGAAAGGGTCTCTGAAAGAAGGCAGCAAGCAGGGGGTAGCAAATCCTTTGAACAAATTATACAATCTTCCATAATCTGCCTTCCTGATCACAGATATTCACTTTCCTCCCTTTGCATTAAAAATACACTCTGTCAGACCCCAAGGAAAAATATTTCCCAAATGCCTAGCTAATTATGGTTTCAGACCCAAAGCCCAAGATGGTTAATAGTTTCTGAATCTGATCCACCTGGCTCCTCTTGATATACAGATCATGATATACAGATCTATGCACCTGAAGAAAAGTTATCTACACACACACAAGTACATCCCTCCCACATACACATGCATACTCACCAAGCATTCAATGGCGCAAGAGGGACAGTGTGATCAAAACAGGCATTTCTATGTGGAAAGGGAAAGACTAGGAGGTCACACTTAATACTGGTACATAAATTCCTGAAATCCTACTGGACAGATTTTTTTAAAAAGCCCTTTAACCTGAAGTTGAGAATCCATTATTCTTAACAGCTGTCCCCTCTTGAAAATCCTCTCTTCTTTTCTGTCTCTGAAAATGGCATTAGAGAATATGCCCATGTTACAGCCTGGGTAGCTATTTCTTGTAGAAGACTGGAGGGCCCTAGGGCCATTTTAAATACTCAAAAGTCTCAGTTTCTTTAACATATGCTAGTGTCTCTTTTGGTTATAGGACTCTCTCAAAAATGTGGTTTTTTATCATTTGATCCAATCAACAATACATGTAAAGTGGCACCCACAGTTCTTGAATCATACCAATGCACTTAACTTTATAATGTATGAGTTACAAGTGAAAATCAATTGCATCTTCCAACCATGTAAACCCTGAAATTTATAGACCCTCTACATTCCCTTTCAATTCTGCTTGAATATCGGCCAATTCTTTTCTGAGCTAACCTCAGTCTTTTAGAACATTTCCAATAACAACCAAATCACGCTACAACATTCTAATTTCTCACTTTCCTCATAAAGCCACAAGTTCATTAGTTTGGGCACTGCCCCATATTTTAGATTTTGTTGATGTTTTTGTTGTTGTTAGGCAACATCACTTTTATGGTACCAATTTCCATATTGGTCAACTTTTTACTAGGTTTTGCTACCATAACAAACCCCAAAATCTTAGTGACTTACAAGGGTTTACTTCTCATGCATATACATGCTGGCTGCAGATCAGCTGTGCCTGTGCTCCTGGTATGTTCTTCATTCTGGAACGCAGGCTAAAGGATCAGCTGCCCCTATCTGAGCCCTCCTGTTCTCATAGCAGATGGAGAAGAGTGATAGCAGAAGCAGCATAGCTTTTAAAGCTTTTGCTAAGAAAGGGCACAAGTCATTTACGCTCATGTTGCATTGGCCAAAGCAAATCACACAGCTGAGGCTAACTCCAATGACAGAACCTGTAAGATCTTCTCATGGGAAAAGCACTAAGGGCCCCTGTAGGAATGGGGCATGGGTGGGAGGAGGCCATCAATATTTAAAATAGGTAGTACAGGCCGGGCACATGCCTGTAATCCCAGCACTTTGGGAGGCCGAGGCAGGTGGATCACTTGAGGTCAGGAGTTCAAGACCAGCTTGGCCAACATGGTGAAACCCCGTCTCTACTAAAAAAAACACAAAAATTAGCCAGGCATGGTGTCAGGCACCTGTAATCCTAGCTACTCGGGAGGCTGAGGCAGGAAAATTGCTTGAACCTGGGAGGCAGAGGATGCAGTGAGCCAAGATCATGCCACTGTACTCCAACCTGGGCAACAGAGTGAGACTCCATCTCAAACAATAAAATAAAATAGGTAGTACAGTGTTCCACACCTCAGTCACAAAATAGTGTGAATATAATTAGTAAAAGTTTCCTGGAACATAGGAGCTGCTCAATAAATAATAGCTTATTTTCCTTTTCATTTCTATCTCCCTTTTCCTTCCCAATTCTGAGATTTTAGCATTCTATGATTTTGCTGATAGCATCTGCAACCAGTGAATGAGAATAATGGAATGAAAAAGATAATAAAAATATCATCAGAGTGTTTCTTAATTTCCAATGTGGAGGACATATAGGAAATCATCCTGATCATGACCTAATTTTCCTATCATTATCTTGCAGAATTATAGACTAACCTCCTTTTCTGTACCCTTTCAACAAATTCAATAAACATATGCTGTGTGTGTTTTAAAATCAGCACAAAAATTTAGGAAAACAGGTTTCATGAGGGTTTTCTTTGGTTATTATTGTTAACAATCAAATACACTGTCCTCACTTAAAGACCTAATTCTAAAATGATCTGTGCCAGCAAAGAATGAATTTCAAGACAAGTGTCCCAGTCATCATTTGCTTTATTTCCTGAATTGCTTTCTTTGAGTCACTGACTATATATAAGCCACCATCATGCCATGACCAAAATAACTGGATTTCTGGGACTGTTTTTCTCTGTAAACACATTGGTAGAGCTACCAATAAAAATAGAAAAGAAACTCCTGAAGTTAAACATTGTCCCAAGGCAATGTTATTCACCCAGTTACTCAAAATTTTTCTCTATTACTGAGCATGGACAGCATCTTTATGGAGTGACAAGACACTAGTCCATTTTCTCCCTCTTTCTTCTACCATGTTATGCAGCCAGAGGACAGAATCATGGGTAATCCAAATTGGTAGGATTTTATTTACTCTCACCCTTTCCCAAAAAGTTATTTTTAAAAAAAAAAAAGGTTTCTGTATTAGTCCATTCCCATGCTGCTATGAAGAAATATCTGAGACTGGGTAATTTATAAAGAAAAGAGATTTAATTGACTGACAGTTGTGCATGGCTGGAGGCCTCAGGAAATTCACAATCATGGCAGAAAGAAAAGCAAACATGTCCTTCTTTACATGGCGGCAGGAGAGAAAAGTGCTGAGCAAAGCGGGAAAGGCCCCTTATAAAACCATCAGATCTCATGAGAACTCACTACCATGAGAATAGCATGGGGGTAACCGCCCCCCCGATTCAATTACCTCCCACTGGGTCCCTCCCACGACACATGGAGATTATGGGAACTACAATTCAAGATGAGATGCGGGTGGGGACACAGCCAAACCATATCAGCTTCTCTTCATAAAAAGTCACTTCCCTCATTCCAAGTTGCAAACAAAAACTAAAACAGAATTCAATTGTGATGACTGTTTATCTAAACACCTGCCATCAAGGACCTTCCAACAAGGAGCAGCAGGGCACAAAGGGTGAGGATGTTGAGGACAACTAGGAATCCTAGAAAGTAATCTGATAAAAGAGCTAGAGGTTTATACATTGACCTGGAACTCCACACAAAACAAGAGCACTGAGAACGTGGCCAGGATGCCCTTCACCGACATGCCTCTGAGCCAAAGGTGTGCCAGGGCCAGCTTGTATCAGCTTGAGAAAACCAGTTGTCAAATTTTTGATAGCTTGAAATTGCCCATGCTGGGAGTGTTTATACCATGGAAATTGTAAATGCTACAAACAAAAGCTTTAGTTTCCAGAGAGCTGGTTGTTAATGTTTACCAGCCCATCACAACACCAGGCTGTGGTTGCTGCTCTCCAGCTGAAATCCCATTGAAATGAGCACATCACATTCCCCTCTCCCTGGATACTTGCTGCCAGATTCTGTTCAGAAAGCAACAGGAAACATTAAGAAAATATGACCGTCAATACCCTGTCACTGAGCATTAACCACAAAGTCTATCCACATGTGCTCTGCATAGGAAGGAGGGCTCAAATTCATCCTCTGCTGATGTTCAGAGCCACGCATCACCTGAGGTCAGGAACTGTTGGTTTTTATTCACTGTTGTTCCCACTGTTCACACTGAGCAAGAGAGTCTTGAAGGAGAGTGAGAAAAGTAGGCGCATGAAAAAGATAGGATTGAAGCTTTGCCTGTGGCATTGCAAATCATGTAAGACCAGGAGAGGTGGCCAAACCTCACTCTGCAGGCTGTTTCCTTTCTCATTGGAATGACACCACAGTAAGAGAAAAGGCTCCCATGTGGGAAGAAGACCAGGTCTGACTCCACCTTTGACACTGACTCACAGTGTGACCTGCAAAAGTGTTCAATTGTCCTCCCAGGATACTGTGATTCTAGTGATTTTCATAGAACCTACCACTTGTGGAAGTGCTTAGGGGATAATGCAAAAACAAACAAATAGAACTACATCTAAAAAACAAAAAGGAAGAAAGTGAGAGAGATGGGGGAAAAGTAAAGAAAGAGAAGTAAGTTTTAAAAAGGAAACAGAGAAAAAGAAATTGGAAGCTGAGGCTAAAATGGTTTTTTTCATCCATAGGAATTGAAAAAAAAATTCATTTTTCCCAAGTTTCCTTAAACTCAATAATTGGCTTTAAAATAAGTAAATGTCAAAACTGTGAACTTAATACCTACATATGAATAAAATATCATTTTGTATTTTTTTAATATATCGAAGACATTTACATACAATTTTGTTCGGAGAAAAAAGCTCCAGTGCTGAAAAATAAGTTTGAAAGCTACCCAGAGAAAGAGGAAAATGAAGGATTACTAATTAATGGGCATAAAGTTTCAGTTCAGCAAAATAAATAAGCTCTAGAGATCTGCTGTACAACATGGTGCTTAGAGTCAGCAATAATGTATTGTGCACTTAAAATTTTTTCAAGTAGCCAGACATGGTGGCATGTACCTGTAGTCCCAGCTATTTGGGGGGCTTAGGCAGGAGGACTGCTTGAGCCCAGGAGATCAAGGCCAGCCAGGACAACACAGCAAGACACCGTCTCAAAAGAAAAAGTTAAGAGAGTAGATCTCATTTTAACCGTTATTACCACAATTAAATAAAAGAAATAAAACTATTCAACCAAATATTTATTGAGCAAGTATTTTATTGTAAGCTCATTACAAGGCTAGCTGCTAACCCTATGTGTTTATAGATTAAAGAGAGAATGCAAATATTTTCCTCAAGAAACTCAAAGCTAGACTTCTAATCCAAGGTTTATGCTTTAAACTACCCCTAACACTCTCAACAGAGCAATTCCGTTTAAAAGTTTTAATTGCAGTTTTTAAAGTTAATACAATACCACTTTTCAAGAAAGGAAATTCCTCGGTGGAAGTCCAAAAACAGAAAACCAACCTAATCAGATGCTAAGAAGGCTCTGAGCCCATAACCTTGTTGATTATAGGTCAAAACTAGAAGTGGCTGAGGGTTCCACCACAGGGATAATGGAGATCCCATCCACCCACCTCCAGCAGTGACTAAGGGAAAGAGCCATCTGCCACACAAAACAGGATGTGGACTGGATCCCTCAGATGAAAGAAGGCTGAAAACAAATTGTAACCATGCCTGGGTCTGCAACTTGAAGCATCAACAACAGCACTTCTGGGAGGGAGAAGAGAATGCTGTTTATGAAGGACCAACTCCTGTGTGTACAATAACTGTGATATCAACATGGCATAGGAGTCCTGCACGTGGAGTTCCATTTGGCCATAAAACTGCTGGGCAGGGAGAAGTGAGCGTAGACAGTGAGAAAACAAAAACCCTACTCAGTATGAGCCCAGAGGAAATGCAAACTCCAAAGGGTGGCCAAGAAGATTAATAATAAGGGGATGAGTTCACTACCAACACAATGCAAAACAATCTCACAAATGCGGTAAAATAAGCATATTTTAAGATCTTGGAAGAGTTCATGCAGGAATGACATTCGTCTTTTATTTATTTATTTATTTTATGTATTGAGATGGAGTCTTGCTTTGTCACTCAGGCTGGAGTGCAGTGGTGCCATCTTGGCTCACTGCAACCTCTACTTCCTGGATTCATGCAATTCTCCTGCCTCAGCCTCCCGAGTATTACAGGCATGCGCCACCTCGCCCAGCTAATTTTTGTATTTTTAGTAGAGAAGGGGTTTCACCATGTTGGCCAGGCTGGTCTCAAACTCCTGACCTCAAATGATCCACGCACCTCAGCCTCCCAAAGTGCTGGGATTACGGCGTGAGCCACCGCGCCTGGCGACATTCGTCTTTTAAAAGAACAAAAAAAAAAATATGAAACAGAACAGGTCACTACCAACAAGGGACCAGTGAGAGTACCCAAGCAAAGGACCCGTCATTTCTGACTCAAAGTCCCCATAGAAAACTCACCATCTCCCCAGCCCAGAAAATGGATGAAGCTAAGTTTCTTCTAGGAATGCTGGGTTTTCCAGCTCTCATTCTGTGCAGTGCTTAGCCCTGTGCAGGATCACTCCACAGCATTCAAAAGATAACCTCCCAAAATCATGGTCAAGTTTCACCTATTTTTTTCATGGATGATAAAATTTGAAAATCTCACCCTTCTCCTTATAACACGGATATTCCAAATATGAAGAGAAATGAATATCACCGGTTTGCAATCAGGATGGTCCCTGTCATAGGTCTAGGTTCCCCTGAGGCCAACTCTGAGCTACAGATCATAAGCAAGTGATGTGTTAAGGAAGTACTCCTAGACCAGTAAGGAGTGGGGAGCAGCACAGAAATAAAAGAAACCACAGGGCAAGGGTGCAATTTCAGGCAAAGTTAGTCAGTAGGATCTCATATAAATTACACCTCAGAGATTTTCCTGTGCTGAGGCAAGGGAGCTGGGCTTTCATACTCCTGAACCAGTCATTGGCATAAACTCCCAGGCACTTTCCTCTCTCTGTGCCTACTGCGAAGGCAGCTATATCATAGCCCACAGATAAGTCTTAAGATGGCCATAAGTAGTAAAAGCACCCAGAAGCCTGAGGAAGTGATGCAGGGCAGGTTCTTGGCTTCATTGGGAAAAAATTCAAGAGCGAGCTGGCAGTGGAAGAATGCATCTTTACTGAGTTTGCGGCAGTAAACTCTGTGACTGCTCCCGCAGAGCAAGTTCAGCTCATAGGCAGCATGCAGAGAGTAGCAGTGTATGGGTGGCTGGCAGTTGCATTTATGCTCATTTTAATAATATGTAAATAAAGGGGCAGGTTATTCAGAAATTGCTAGAAAATGGGTGGTAACTTCCTGGCATTGCCATGATGTTTGGAAACTGTCATGGTGCTGGTGGGAGTGTCTTAAGCTGATGGGCAGCAAGGGCAACTAGAGGTGGCCTTCAGCATCACTTACTGGTTTGGGGCTGTGATATGGTTTGGCTCTGTGGCCCCACCCTAATCTCATCTCGAGTTGTACTCCCCATATGTCAAGGAAGGGGCCTGGTGGCAGGTGACTGGATCATGGAGGCAGTCTCCCCATGCTGTTCTTGTGATAGTGAGGGACTTCACAGGAGAGCTGATGATTTAAAAGTGGCAGTTTCCTCTGCGAGCTTTCTTTCTCTCTCTCTCCTGCCACCTTGTGAAGAAAGTACCTGCTTCCCCTTCACCTTCTACCATGATTGTAAGTTTCGTGAGGCCACCCAAGCCATGCAGAACTGAGTCAATTAAATCTCCTTTCTTTATAAATTACCCAGTCTCAGGTAGTATCTTCATAGTAGTGTGAAAATGGACTAATACAGGCTGTCTTCATTCTGGTCTGGAGAACAAGTCCTGCCAACCTCCTACCTCAGTGGGATCATGGAAAAGGTAATGGGCATCTCAGAGCTCAAACATTGCCTTCTACAGATACCTTTTCTTGCTGCCAGTAACTAGGGAGGTTTGTGATGATTGTAAGTTTCCAGAAGGTAAACAGGGCCAAGAAATAGAAGGAAAATACAATTCAGGATATATGTTTCGTTCATGTGTGCAGTGAGTGAAGATTATGCTGTGGCCAGAAAGACCTGAATATAGATAAGAACTTCAGATAGGAACACATTGCTTAAGTCTAGCTGAACTATAGAACTTAAATTTGGTTCAAATTACTTCTGAAACTATGGCCTTCCCAAGCAATCTCATATATTTCTGAGTTATTTGAAAATAATGCAATATTAGTTTTGTAGGCAATTGATAGTTTTAAAAATCATGAAGATACATAATTCTTTATTAATTTTGTAGACATGTTTCCAAAAACATTCTTATAATTAAGAAAATCTGACAAAAGAACTTCAGCAGATGTGTTTCATTTGCTTGGCAAATTATTATAATTTTTAGTTAAGTAACAGATAAACCAGGGATTTACATAAAATAATTTAACTTCTAGTAAGATTGTTACCTATAGATAAAATTAGTGCCACAGCAGTTGAAAATGGAATAACTTAGAATAAGTAGATTTATGAATTGATGTTTTGATAGTTCTGACCTGGGTGGTCCAAGCA